>NC_000010.11:16828181-16979696 GCF_000001405.40 Homo sapiens
CAGCGTGCTGTGACTCCTCCCTGGGAAATCCCGATTCAGTGGGTTTCGGTGGGAACTGGAAGTCTAATGTAAGTAACTCCACAGGTGATTCTGACGCAGGGCTGATTTTTGTAACTCTTAATAGTAATTTAATGCAATGCCCACCAGATGGCACTCATGCTCCCATAATAGAAAGGCAAGTTGGAAAACTGCTCAATTTGTTAAAGGCTGTGCTTCTTCCTCTGCAGTGTGTCTGCCTTTGAAAGTCTACACTAGGCCGGGCCCAGTGGCTCACGCGTGTAATCCCAACACTTTCGGAGGCCCAAGCGGGTGGATCACCTGAGGTCAGGAGTTCGAGACCAGCCTGGTCAACATGGCAAAACCCTGTTTCTACTAAAAGTACAAAAATTAGCTGAGTGTGGTGGCAGGCACCTGTAATCCCAGCTACTCAGGAGGCTGAGGCAGGAGAATTGCTTGAACCCAGGAGGCGGAGGTTGCAGTGAGTTGAGATTGCGCGCACCACTGCACTCCAGCCTGGGTGACAAGAGCGAGATTCCATCTTAAAAAAAAAAAAAGTCTACACTAAGTGACTCATTATTGTCTAAAAATAACAAATGGGAATATAAAATGTTTGTTTTACTCACGCCTCCGCAGTATGGTCCAGAGGATGGAGAGCTGGCGTTGGGCCCATCATAGAGTGTGAGATAGTTCTGGACACAGTCTCCTGGATCGTCAATGCTGATGAAGTAGAAGTTGATGGTGACAAGCCTTCCAGCAGGAGCAACAAGGACCCACTCGCAGTACGTGTTGTTTGGGTATGTGCCTGGATAGCCGGGGCTGGTGAATGAGCCTCTGTCTCCATAAAGAGTTCCACCACATCCTGCAAGGAAAACAGGACAGGAAGTTTGATTCAACAGCATATAAGCCGTCCAGTCTGGCTTGTTAGGCAATAAGACTTTATTTTCTTAAGGTGCTGAGACTCTGCAAGAATAATGGAGGCAGAAATCCCTTTTCCTTTTCCTCTTCTTTGGGCTACACCCTTTCTCCTCTCTTCCCCTCTCTTCCCACTGCCACCTCCACCTCTTCCATCCTCCACACACGTGCCTTTGCCTGCATATCACAACCCAGGGATAACTTCCTCCAGGACTGTACTTTGAAAATTGGGGGTTGAGAGCAGAATGGAAAAAAAAAAAAAAAACAAACTTGATAAAGTAACTGTGGGAGAAAATCAAGTTGTTGTCTGTGTGCTTTCGATGGTGTAGAGATCTTTGCATGCCCAGAGTTGACGCCAGTGATGTGAGTGAAGTAAAATTAGAAGTAAAATTCAGCACTAAACCAAGAGGGAGTGCGTTATTGTAGGTGACGGCAGGAATGACTTCATTATAAAAGTGACTTTACCAGGCTAATAACTGACATACTTAAGGTCAAATACTTCAAGTTTTGGTGTTAATTTGTTCAATTTGTTAATCTGTATATGAAGGCTGTCATGATTTAGACTATATATCTGTGGAGATCCAGGTCATCTCTGGGACAGGAAGAAGCTGGCTGGCATAGTTACAGAGCACGTGGCTGGGCCTCTGACCACTGAGGTCTAATCTCACCTTCACCTCAGTCTAGTGGAGCATTTTGGGCAACTCATTAATCTTGGTGGGTTTTTTTGTTTGGTTGGTTTTTTTTTTGAGATGGAGTCTTGCTCTGTCGCCCAGGCTGGAGTGCAGTGGCACGATCTTGGCTCACTGCAAGCTCCACCTCCCGGGTTCATGGTGGGTTTTTTTTGTTTTGTTTTTTTTTTTGAGACGGAGTCTTGCTCCGTCACCCAGGCTGGAGTGCAGTGGCGTGATCTCGGCTCACTACAGCCTCCATCTCCCAAGTTCAAGTGATTCTCCAGTCTCAGCCTCCCGAGTAGCTGGGATTACAGGCATGTGCCACTACACCCAGTTAATTTTTGTATTTTTAGTGGAGATGGGGTTTCACCCTGTGGGCCACACTGGTCTGGAACTCCTGACCTCAGGTGATCCACCCACCTTGGTCTCCCAGGGATTATAGGTGTGAGCCACAGCACCTAGCTTAATCTTGGTGTTTTATTTGCTCGTTGATAAAATTTGAGCATTGGAGGTCACCTTTAAGCTTCCTTTGGGTGCCAAGATTCCATTACCCACGATTATCTTTATAGAACGCTTTTCTTAAGATATTTAAAGTGAGTTCTGTTTATCTTTCTTATTTTGAAGGTATTTTGGTATTTTGGGATATTTTATAAAGGTATTCCTCCTCTCTTGAATTAAATGTATTGACATGACTTAAATTTTCTTTAGTTGTTTGATAAACAGCCAGCCAAAAATGTGAGAAGATACTTACTACCCTAAAAAAAGCAATTTCTCTCCAGAACCGCCAAGAAATGTCAGGGCCTGCGAGAAGCACAACTACTCATATATATGCCAGAATGTGTTCATAAGTTGGATTTTTGGTAAAAATTTTTCTTTAAATTCTCAAAGAACTTCCTTGATGGTCAAGCCAAAAGTCAAAAAGTCTAACAAAATTTAATTTACCAAGGAATTTTTGAATCTTCCTACCTTACCTTATATATGTTTCATATATGAATATATATTCTTTTATAAACAGAAATAATGAATAAATGTAAAATTTAAAGTAATCTGGCCGGGCGCGGTGGCTCATGCCTGTAATCCCAGCACTTTGGGAGGTTGGATCACCTGAGTTCAGGAGTTTGAGACCAGCCTGGCCAATATGGGGAAACGCTCTGTCTACTAAAAATACAAAAATCGGCTGGGCATGGTGGCGCATGCCTGTAATCTCAGCTACTTGGGAAGCTGAGGTAGGAGAATCACTTGAACCTGGGAGGTGGAGGTTGCAGTGAGCTAAGATCACGCCACTACACTCCAGGCTGGATGACACAGCGAGATTCCATTTCAAAAAAAAAAAAGTAATCTGTACTTTCAATGTTAAAATCTCTATTCTTAACATAAACTAATCAGGTACACAGGTAGCTAAAAATATAAAGTTACTTTGCCTTTTACTATTAGACACCTCATGTTTTTCTCACAGTGCTTTCCTGTACAAAGTGCAAATGTCTTACCAGAGGGTGATGAAGTCCAGATGATTTCATATCCACGATCAGAAGTTACACTATCACTCTTAAATCGTAGGTATAGTTCATTATTTTGAGAGAAGACAGGGTTTGGCAGCAGAGTTCCACAGTACTTGCCCAGTAATGGTGAATTGCTGTTACTTCCATTTCTCACCTTTAGGAAGGAGTCATTCATTATTAAACTTACACTTTCTTCTCTAAGGTATATACATTAAAATGGAGACAATTTGAATGATGACATTGGTCGGAAAAGCTTTGTCTTTTTATACAGTTAAGAATGAAGCGTTTTCTGAAAATACATGCAGAAGTCACCTTCACTTGCAAAGGGGAAAAATGTTCCACGTGTAGATCAAAAAACATTTGCATTTGGATTCAGAAATACCTGTTAACCTACAGCAATTAAAACACCAGGCAGCTTTTTTATACCGTAGTTTGTGCTGTGATCCTGCAGCCTTTGCTTTTGGGGAAACATTCTGGAGAATGTAGGTAAAGTGAATTTTTAAAAGGTGGAGATGGGCGGGGGCAATGTTGCCTGCTCTGCTTCCAGTCAACTATTACACCTTTCTCATTGTGTGTGTGTTTGTGTATGTGTGTGTGTGCACGTGTTTCCCATTGAAAATTACTTGGCTGTAAAGAGGCTATGAAAAAATACAATGCAAAGTATAATAAAGTTCAGAACGAAAGGAATTTCTGTATGGGCAAAGGACAGAATTATAAATCTATACAATGTCTGTTGTTAAATGTGTTTTACAAACACATTCCGAGGCCTTGTTGCTTTTTTGTTTCAACTCATTTTTGAGTAGACACATATAAAAACAGGAGATGAGCCTGTGTTTTATGGGGAGAGAGAACTACACTGTGAACTGAACCACTTTCTGTCCCCCAGCCTGGCTGCTACCCTGCATTCACAACCAGCCCTGCTTCCAGGAGGGCTCTCGACGCTTCTTACGGAAACGTTACGCGGGCAATGTATGTTGGAACCAGCCTGACATGCGGAAATGCTGATTTTACTGATCTATGTATTCAAAATATTGGAAGTTCCTCTGTTCCCTATATAATTCCATGGTTTAAACTTTGGTTAATTGCTGGTATCTTAAGTCACAAAGTTAAGACATCTTGCTGGGCTGTGTTGATCAGGTGAGATTCCTTTTAGGTCGATGTAGTAGCCCATGGGAGAGAATAATGCCTTTCTAGTGCTTTGGGGATTATTCTGCTAAGTGTTTAAACAAAGTAACCTTGCCATGACAGAGTAGCCAGTCATCCACTAGTAGATGGGAGGGCTGCCATAGCCAGCACCACGCTTTTGAGTTTGGGCGTTTTTCCCTCAGGGTCCTCTTTCAAAATGCCGTTGCTCTGAGAGGAGCAGCAGGATACTAATTTCCACTGACACTGCTGACAACTTGTCTTATTCACTTTCCTCTCCTAGGAAGAATGGGGCCACCTAGAGCAGTGGGCATCTCTGGGACATCAGAGGATCTTGAAAGGGGAGGTGAAGGCATGAAAACAGATTCCAAGCATGGTCTAGAGCTCGGCCCTCGCTTGGTAGTAACACAGTCAGAATTCTCAGTCAGACATTTCCGTTCCCACCGCAGTTCACAAGAACGGAATGCTGAGGCTTCCTGGTACAGCTGCCAAGAAACTATGCCCACAGCCTTCCCACTGAGAGCCAGATGGAGCTACATTTTACAGGCCTAAGCGGTGGTTTCCTTTCTTTGCTTATGGGACAGGAAGTTTCAGATCCATTCTGTGGAGTAATGAAGGACAGCTAGGAGGAGGAATTCTCACTCTCCACGGCTGGAAAGCAAGGCTTTGCTTCCCAGCATCTATCAGGCAAATGGCAAACGTTGACTCTGATCAATAATGGTCCATTCAAGCTGGAGTGAGTTAAGAGTTAGTTGCACTGTGACTCCAACCTAACGGGATTATTCCATCTTTCCTCCAGATCCCACTCTCCTCATTCTTTCTGCTTTACACTTCATATAAATATTTGGATCTCCATGGTGGGGGAGGTACACAGGTCCAAGTTGAATAACCTGACCGGCACAAAGAATAACTGTATTTGCCTCTTCATTTCCTCCCTGCTATATACATCTTTCGGTCTCCTGTCGTGGCGAGTATTCCTTTAGAAAAGGCATGAGCTTCCTCCGAGTGTTATTTATGGCACTATATGTTAAGGTTATTGATTAATAAAGGATTTAGATGAATTCCAAAGGGGAGAGCTTTCCAGGATGATAAAACTCCGCATCAGGAATCATGTTGAAGCTAAACCCATATGCAAAGACCATATGCCAGAACACCCTTCCTGGCCAGGCTGGGCAGAAGGTGCCAGCAGCCCTAGGAGCCAAATCGGATGAGGGGGGTTGCAGGGCAGAAAAGAAAGAAGAAGAAAGAAAAGAAAGAAAGAAAGCCCTTGGTGCTAAGAAGCAGAAGATGTTTTGTTGGGAACAAAGGCTGAAGCTACCAAGAAACTATCAGCTGAGCAGAGGCCCGCTAGAAAGAATCGTCCCACAGAATGAAAGGAGCCCGCTGCCTACACCGGTACATTTCTTTATGCTACAAAGGTCAAATCCTCTTGGGCAGCTTATTTTGAATGAAGACCTGATTAAAGAGGCAGTGAGAAAAAAAATAAAATAAAAAATACAACTCCAGATCAGGGGTAGAGGAACAAGCACACTTTTTGGAAACTTTACTGAAGACTCTTGTGTGGTACAAAGCCAGTTTAGAGACGGTCAGGATGAGGTTTAGATTTAAACTCCACTCACAGAGGAACTCAGCATCTTTATGCTCTTGGTTTTTAGGTTCCACCTAAGTATATTTCCTAAGGATGAATGCATTTTCGACAGAGCTTGCAAAGCTCAAACCCCGTGAGCTCTGGGGTTTTTCTGGCAAAACACAGGGGCTGAGTTCCACACACTGGGTCCACATCACATGAGGCTTATTCAGACTATCTCCTGCCTATGAGCGATGATGTTCATGTTCCATCTCATATGCCCAATGCAGCGATGGGGCAGAAAGAGCACAGAGGGAGCTCATCGGGGGCACTGGAGGACCCCAAAGTTTCAGGCCCACGAGGCGCATGGTTCTGCCTGCTCCAGGCACAAGGGGGCTTCTCTCTCAGTGTGTCCTGGGGTGGGAGTGGGGGGTGGGTGTGTGGACGATGGGCAAACAGTGAAGTCATTTCTGTGCCCAAATTCAAGCTCTGGAGTTGTGGTGAAGAAAGGACAGACCACACCCCCCTGAGACCAGGGAGCATTTATTCAAGGAAACACTTGTCTTTAGAGGATGTTGACGATGCCCCAAACTTACTGTAGCTGTCAGGAAAATTAGGTGAGCTATTTAGTATCATTGAGCTTCATTTTACAGAACCAGCATGTTGTCCTTAGACTTCCCTCTGATCCTTTTAGGTCTCAACTTACATATTGCCCTCTTGAGCCTTCTAGTTCCCAGACTGAGTTAGGAACCCCAACCCATGCTGGACTCAGTTAGTCCTTTCCACATTGTGCTGTAATTGGCTATACCCCATCTGTCCTTCCTGCCAGACTAGGAGTCTCCTGCGGGCCCTAAGGTTCCCAATTTCCGGTGTTTGGACTGGTGCTCTGTAGATGTTTAGGGAATGAAAGGGTAATGAATAAATTAATGAAACAAATAAGAATCATATAATATTAGCAGCACTAGATAAAAGGTGTAAAATCTTAAGTGATCCACCATCTTTTAAATAATTCATTCAAACGATATTCAAATGCATATCACCTCCAAGAAATCGTTTCTGCATTCAACTGAGTTCTCGATGCCAAGTGAATGAAAAAAGAGGGAAATGGTGTGGTTCTGGGGGGCTGTGAGAGTAACGGTGCAATCCTTGTCATTGTCGTAGTTATCTGGCCATCCAGGGCTTCTCAGGTTGCCAAATGCCTTGTGATAGTCTCTGTTGCAATCTTAGAGGAAAAATAGGCATAATTAATGTACGCATTCCAATATTTAGTGCTCTTTCAACTTCACAGGAATCATTCAAAAAGATCATTGCATTTGATAAACTTTAGAAAAAAGTAATCCAGCTTCTTCGTTTACCTTTGAGATAATTGAGACCCTGAGCAGTGAAGTGAATTGCTCAAGCAGCACACACAGGTGCAATGCAACAGCTCGTTCACACAAACACGCCTACAGGAAGCATGACACAGGAGGCTTCTCCTTTAAAGACGAATACTCGAGCATCCTTTGAACTTTTCTGATCACGTTGAGGTGGAAGTAGCATTCAGACTCTCTTTTCGACAAGGATGCTACCTCCAAGACAGAGTTTTGCACAAGGATTTTAAATCCATTGTTGAGTTATTTGTGGCAAATCGTTATTTACCTTTTTTTTTTTTTTGGTAAAAAAATACCAAAAGTACTTTCGTTTGTTTTAACCAAAGGAAGCTTTCATTTGAGTCAATTCAAAATAAGTACTAAATAAAGTGTTCTGTGAAAATAAACTTCTTATAATAATCAGGTAACTCTTTCAAGGCTTTTTGATTTTTACAAAATAATTTTCTAAGATTTTCAATTTTGTGAAAATACTAAAAACCTCTGAAATATAAACTTTAAATGGGTAAATTGTATGATATGAGAATTATATTTTGATAAAGCTTTTGTAAATAAACATATATATTTCTTGTAAATAAAAATGTATATTCAATGTGGTTAAGTGTATAATTAATAAGATAATTGGCATATTTTTAAAATCAACTACATATACTTTGAAGAAAATGCTAGCATTCTAACCATCCTGGATAGTATTATATTCTCTTTATCTCTTTAGAAACCAACTGTAGTAATTTGCTAAATTGGGCTGGGTTCTAGTTAAGAGAGGGATGTGGTTTTTGTTAACAAATCCTAATTTACTCACAGGAGTCAATTCTAGAAATAATTGTAATTATTCTACGAATAATGGTAATGATGGCAGCTTTTTTGAATAAAAGATGAAGTTCCTGGCCTCACCTGCAATCTGATAGGTGAAACTCATTCTAGAGTTTCTGTTTACAACTCCAGATTTGAAAATGACCATTGCAGTACTCATAGAAGAATAAAACACTGGCACAGCCGAAGCATTTCTGCCACAGAACTGAAATCTTGAATTTCCGTGACCCTGAAATGAAATGGGAGCCAAATCATGTTAGATTTAGTCTTAGAAGAGAACAGGCCATAACAGAAATTAGACTGCATATAAAAGCATGGTGTAAATATTTAGCCATGGAAACCAGCTCTGCTGTTGGAAGTGCTCTGCAAGAAGACTCACGTTGGCCTTGGAATTGATGCAAGTTGCACCTTCCCAGAGGGGCAGGAGGAAGGGAGGCAAAGCTTCTGCTGAAACCACAGACATTTCCCTGCTGAAAATAAGATCCCTCGCCTTTTATGCAACTTCCTAGCTGAGGCCTGTGCCATTGCTCTGAGGATCTAGGCTGTTTGAGAGCTCACTGGATCTCTCCTCCTGGGGCTTTTGCCATTGTCCTGAGCTCCATGGGACTAACAACCACCATCACCCTGATCCAGCCCTTGCTACCCCTTAGCAAATCTAATCAGAGCCTTTGGTTCCACTGTACATCCCCCAAGCCAGCCGGGGCCTGTCATGAGGTACCGGTTCCCCTTTGTAACACTAGGGCAGCCCTCATCACCTCTCAAAAGCCTGGAGTAAATGCAGTCGAATGCCCATCAGTTCTTGGGTAAAAACAAGTTGTACCAAAGTCAGGGTATTTGCAGCCTCCCTGTCACAGGAATGTCTCTAATATCTGCAGTTCTTAGGAACCTACTGAAACACCCCACCCGTCTCTGCTTGCAAAACTCCTGTAACTGCTCGGGGCTTCCACCCCTCTTCCCCACTGTCTCCTGCTCTTGGTCCTTGTCTAACTTTGCTGTATCCTGTGAACTTTAACTGCACTGTCAGTCATTCTCGGTATACATCCCCCACCTTTCCACTTTGTGGCCTTAGCAAAACCTGGTTCTCCAGCAGCCTCCTGGTAGAGGCTGTTCTTTACCCATGCTCCACAGTTCATTGAGTGGGAAGGGTGGGGGGCCAGCCTCGGGGGAAGGGAGGGAGGCTCCACATTCCTCACTGCAGCTTCCATCCTCGTCTCAAAGCTGGTTCTCCTTCGACGGTCTCTACATCTGGCCAAAGATATTCTTACCATTATCGTCACTCTCATTTACTTTTCTCCCAGTTACTTCCCTTCATTTATGAAAGACTTGAGGTGTCTCAGCTCATAGTCATCTCCTGCCCCTGATTTCCTTTCTGAACCCTTTAGAGGTTTCTGTGTTTTTATAGACAAGCCATTAAACACCCTCAACTTCATATTTCTTAACCTTAGGGCCTTCTATCTCTGCATCTCTGTTCATCTCCAGTGCCAGCTAACCACTGAACATCCTCCGTAACCACCCTACACATCATTCCTTCATGATCTGCCAATTAGGGCTGCTCTGTCTACTCTTGGATACCCCGAGAATCCCAGTTTCTCCCAGCTCATCCGTCAATGTTTGTCTTTCCTCCCTACCTACCCAGTCCGAAACCCTTGATTGTTTCCTGTATTCATTCAGTGGAAAACATTATTCAGTCATGACAAACACTGGGTCTTACTCGAGGCTGCTCCAGCTGCTGTTATGTTTCAGACGGTGTCTCGTGCCCTGAAAGTGCCATTCTGTGCCCCGCTGAGTGGTCCACCCTGATCCCCATTGTCTTAGCTTCGTGAAGCCAGGGAAAATTGAGAGAGCTTTCACCCAAAGGGCCTGTTCCACTTGGCTGTAAGTCCTCTAGGGTACCAATGGGTAATAGAGATTTTGTCCTGAAAACCATTACCAATGGAATGACGATAATCTAGCATCTTGTCCACCTTGGGAGCTCATCTCAGCATATATGCTTTGCACCAAACTCAGCAAGTCCAGGGTCTATTCAGCTGCCAGCACATCTCACGCCTCTCCACTCTGGAGTCACACAACCTGGACTTTTCTTTCCCCAGCAAGACCACATGAGAAGCAGGGGACCCCAGATTTATAATGAAGGGGACCCTGAAAACTCAGAAGACAACAGATACTCTACTAGTCCAGCATATGGGGCTTTGACCATGACATTTTACTGGAATGAACTGGGGAGGGTTAGTTGCTCCCCAAACTGCAGAAAGACAATCCAGGTATTCTCAGATGTTCTCCTGGTATCCATCCTCAGTTCGTGGCCAATCCCTTTGCATATTTTCCCCAGATAATCTCATTCTTCTCATTTTTCAATTACCTATCATGATAATGATGATGCACAAAAATCTTTGGGCCTTTGGTCAACAACCCACTTTGTGTCCAACTGTCTCCTCAACATCTTATTCCAGAGGAAATTCAGACTCAGCCTTTTTTAAAGCTCAAAATGGATTTTGTTGTTGTTGTTGTTGAGACGAAGTCTCACTCTGTCACCCAGGCTGGAGTGCAGTGGCGCGATCTTGGCTCACTGCAACCTCTGCTTCCCAGGTTCAAGCGATTCTCCTACCTCAGCCTCCTGAGTAGCTGGGATTACAAGCGCACACCACTGCACCCAGCTAATTTTTTGTATTTTCAGTAGAGGCAGGGTTTCACCACACTGGCCAGGCTGATCTTGAACTCCTGACCTCAGGTAATCCACCAGCCTTGGCCTCCCAAAGTGCTGGGATTATAAGCATGAGCCACCACACCCAGCCCTTTTCTTTTTATCTCTCTTATATTACCATGAATATAAACCTATCAGACTAGTGCCAAACAGCCTCTTCACTGATTCTCTTGTGTTCTGTACTGACCCTTTCAATTCAACCTATACATAAATCCCACTAACTAGAGGTATTTCTCCAAGCATGGTCCATGGAGTTCTGGTACTGGCACCAAAACACCAGAGGTGTTTGTCAAAAATTCAGATAAATGGGTGTTATATGGGGGATTCGGTCTCTGAGGGTGGGCCAGGGAGGATGCACTTTTAAGATGCATCTTAATGCATTCTTAGGCACATGAAGCTTTGAGAGCTCTGGACCTGCAGGACCAAGTTCAAGTTTCTCGACACACCTGATTGGAGGGCTTTGTGTATGGATGAAAAACACATTAAGCTGGAAGTAACTTAGAAAATTATTTCATCATGAAACAAACCACTCCATCAAAAAGTGGGCGAAGGATATGAACAGACACTTCTCAAAAGAAGACATTTATGCAGCCAAAAGACACATGAAAAAATGCTCATCATCACTAGCCATCAGAGAAATGCAAATCAAAACCACAATGAGATACCATCTCACACCAGTTAGAATGGTGATTGTTAAAAAGTCAGGAAACAACAGGTGCTGGAGAGGATGTGGAGAAATAGGAACGCTTTGACACTGTTGGTGGAACTGTAAACTAGTTCAACCATTGTGGAAGTCAGTGTGGTGATTCCTTAGGGATCTAGAACTAGAAATACCATTTGATCCAGCCATCCCATTACTGGGTATATACCCAAAGGATTATAAATCATGCTGCTATAAAGACACATGCACACGTATGTTTATTGCGGCACTATTCACAATAGCAAAGACTTGGAACCATCCCAAATGTCCAACAATGATAGACCGGATTAAGAAAATGTGGCACATACACACCATGGAATACTATGCAGCCATAAAAAATGATGAGGTCATGTCCTTTGTAGGGACATGGATGAAGCTAGAAACCATCATTCTCAGCAAACTATCGCAAGGACAAAAAACCAAACACCGCATATTCTCACTCATAGGTGGGAATTGAACAATCGGAACACATGGACACAGGAAGGGGAACATCACACACCGGGGCCTGTTGTGGGGTGGGGGAAGAGGGGAGGGGGGAGGGATAGCATTAGGAGATATACCTAATGTTAAATGACGAGTTAATGGGTGCAGCACACCAACATGGCACATGTATACATATGTAACAAACTTGCACATTGTGCGCATGTACCCTAAAACTTAAAGTATAATTAAAAAAAAGAAAATTATTTCATCATGGCTTCATTACTTCAAGTGTTTTGCAAATACTGGTGAAAAGGTCACTAGATGTGACTGCCATTCATCTTATAATTGTTACCTGCGGTGAGTCCTGAAGCTGTAAGTAATTCTGCGTGCAGTCTTGCGAGGTCAGCTGTAATGCCCACACAGTTATCTTGACCTGCTGATGCGGAGGGGAATCAATGACCCAAGTACAGATGGAAAATGGGACATCTGGGTCTGATGAATTGGGTGATGAAATATTTTGTGGGGTCCAAGTTGCATTGTATGTTCCACCACAAGGCACTGGAGAGGGAGGAAAAAGCAACACAGGAGACATTTTATTCATGTCTCATCTCAGGCAATCTTTGCAATTCTGTCTTCCCTGCCTCCCACCCCGGAGGAGCTATATTTTCATTACTCTATTAAGAATTCAGGGTTTATATCCTTGACTAAAGATTGTATCAAATTTGTACCACAGATTAAACATACAGTAATTAACATGGTGTTTAGCAATTGACATTGAGTTTAGATAGTAATTGACATTGAGTTTAGTAATTAACATTGAAATTTCGATATAATAAGCAGGGCATTCTTTTCAGTGCATAAATACATGTGTATTTCATAACATATAAAAATGCTTCTATTTACTCACTGTCCATGATGGTGTATGTAGCATTAAATCCTTCCCTCTCTAATGTTAAGTCACTGATGAATTGAACCGTAAGGAAGTTACCAGAAGAGATAAAAGGAGCAGGTACTGTGGAACCACAAAACGTTCCAGCCAAGTTCGCATTTTCACTATCCCCATCATATAACTGAGAAGAAAAACAATTCATTACTTCTCCATTACTTACAAAAAATTGCATATTTCACACTAAATTGGACGCGAAGTTGCAATAGGTCACGGTAAACATTTTTACATTGATTTTCTTAGAGGTAGTCTTAATTTAGGAACAGAATTATAATTGGATTGATTATATTATGACTTTCAGGAAAAACCTGTTATGACGCCTAACATTTTTTTCCTCTTTGGGAAATATATGATTTTTAAAAGAAGGTGTTATGAGAGTCCGCTCACCCACTGCTACTTTAACCTCTGCACCGACTCACACTATGGCCCCAACTGCTCTGATCTCTTGCCTAGATGATCACTGCAGCCTCCCATGAAGCCCCTGATTCTGCTCGTGTTCCTCTTTAGTGTATCCTCAAAATGTCATCGAGAGGATACTGTTAAAATGTAAGTCACACCATGTCACTGCTCTGCTGAAATCCTCCTAACTGCTTCCCATCCACTCAATCAAACAGCCAAAGGCATCACAATGGCTTTCTCTCCTCTCCCACCCCTGACCTTTCTAATCTAATTTCTTATTGTCTTCACTTTGTTCGATTCCGCTTCTTGAGCCAAACCAGGTGTGTTGCTGCTTCTTGGGTATGGCATTTGCTGTTCACTTTGCCTGGAATGCTCTTCCCTGTATATCCACATAGTTTGTCCTCGTGCATTTCTTCAGGTCTTTACTCACATATCCCCAACTCGGCCGGGCGTGGTGGTACACCCCTGTAATCCCATATACTTGGGAGGCTGAGGCAGGAGAATAACTTGAATCTAGGAGGTGGAGGTTACAGTGAGCTGAGATGGTGCCACTACACTCCAGCCTGGGTGACAGTGCAAGACTGTCTCAAAAAAAAAAAAAAAAAAAAGATATCCCCAACTCAATAAGGCCTTCCAGATGTAAACTCTCCCAACATTCCCATCTCCTTTCCTGCTTGATTTTTCTCCACAGCAACTGTTACCTTCTTCTATATACTACATATTTAGCTTTTTTTTTTTTTGAAATAAGGTCTCACGCTGTTGCCCAGGCTGGAGTGCAGTGCTGCAATCATAGCTCACTGCAACCTTGAACTTCTGGGCTCAAGTGATCCTCCCACCTCAGCCTCCCAAGTACCTGGGACTACAGGTGCATGCCACCATGCCTAGCTAATTAAAAAAAATTTTTAGAGATGGGGTCTTCCTATGTTGTCCAGGCTAAACTTGCTTATTTCATTGGCTTTCTCTCTGAAGACAATACAAGTTCCATGAATGTACAGATTTCTTTTCTGCTCACTGCCATGTTCCCAGTTTTTAGAAAAGTGTCTGCACGTGAGAGGCTCTCAATAAATATCTAATAAATAAATAAACAAGTGCTTTGATTCCTCTGTCCCACTAGCCCTCCCAAAACTGTTCTCCCAGAGCCATCTTTACCTCAATGTTTCAAGCCTACAACTTTAGTCATCTCTGATTCCTCTCTCTCTCTCTTCACTCCACAACTACTCCAATCTACCTTCAAAATATATCCCAGAGGGCTCCATCTCCAGGTGATCTCCATCGTCCTTCACCTGTTCCCACTGAAACATCTTCTTAATAGGCCTAATTCCGGAGCAGCCATAGTGTTCTCCACTGAACTGCCTGCATGTCTGCAAACTCCAATGAGGTGATGCTCCTGCTCTGTCTAAAATGCTTCGGCAGATCCCCATTGCACCTAAAGTAAAATTCCAGCTCCCTCCCACAGTCTGCAAGCCCCAGCTGCTCTGGCCTGTGCCTCCTTCCCAGGCTGCCCACACCTCACTGCTAGCTGCACTTCCTTCATCCCAGGAGGACTCCTGTCCACAGCCCTGTTCCTGCTGCTCTTCCTTCCTCAGGTGAAGCTGAACCCACACAGCTAAGGACTCCCTGTCATGGGCCCTCACCTGACATGTCACCTCCTCAGAGAAGCCAATGCTATTGAATGTTGCCCTCCCATAGCATCATCCTGTTTTATTTTCCTATTATAATCAAAACTGATCTTATTTATTGTTTATTTACTTTGTCCGGTCTCTTTCCCAACAAGGATGTAAGTCCCACGTGTGGGGAGACAGAGACTCTGTCTGACTTCTTCACTGTGGTGTCGCCAGCACCCAGAACAATTCCCAACCATGGCTCCCTTCTAGAAACATCCATCGAAATAGTGGGTGCTTGGATTTCCCTGAAACACATAACTAGAAAATGTTTTCTTCTGAGTAATCTCCATTGTACTTCTAAAATGAGTGTCTGTGTGTATCTAACTCCAAATATTCAATTCATAACAGAGCTATGTGTTCAAGGCCTCAGAACAGCCATGACCATGACCACTGACATTATTCTAAAGTGCTAGGATTATGTAAGACAGGAATGACTAAAACCAGTCATTGTAAAAGAAAAAGAAATGCACCACTAGATGGCACTGTCTTTCCAACTTAAACATGATTTTAGTTAATTCAGAATCAGATGAAACTCGAGTTTTCTAATCTTCACCCCTTTGTTTCATGGAAGAGCACATTTGCCAAGTTTTAGGTCATGCACTTTTTCTGGTAAACAAGTTAAAATTTCATGATAATCATTGCTGTCTTTATGATCACATTTATATTAGCAAGCATTTTTATTCTGGGACCTGTATGCCAGGCCTCTGTGCTAGATCCCAGGCATACAAGGACATGTAAAGCCCTTTCCAGATCTTCAAGACATAAGACCCCTTCATGAACAAAGGAGAGTAAAGGTCTACAAATTAAATATACAAATACATATATTTGTGTAATATGCACATACACTATGCATACACATAAATATATGTGTATATAAATTATATACAAAATAGAGAAAAATAAGTGCTACAATAAAATAATGGGAGTGTATCATGAGAACCCACGTGATGGAGACAGACATTTGGGTTGGCCCTTAAATGTAAGTAGAGACCTTCCAGACCTGCGGGGCGTGGTGGCTCATTCCTGTAATCCCAGCACTTTGGGAGGCCGAGGCAGGCGGATCGCCTGAGGTCAGGAGTTCGAGACCAGCCTGACCAAAATGGAGAAACCCCATCTCTATTAAAAATACGAAATTAGCCAGATGTGGTGGCGCAGGCCTGTAATCCCAGCTACTTGGGAGGCTGAGGCAGGAGAATTGCTTGAACCCGGGAGGCAGAGGTTGCAGTGAGCCAAGATCGCACCACTGCATTCCAGCCTGGGCGACAAGAGCGAAACTCTGTCCCCAAAAAAAAAAAAAAAGACCTTCCAGACCTACAAAACAGGAAGGGTATCCCAGCCAGACAGTAATAAATGCCAGGCCATGGAAGTGTGAAATGCATGGCACGTGTCAACAACTTCTGACCCCCTTCATTGGCCCTGGAGGCCAGGGTGAGAGAACAGGAGAAATGACGAAGTCCAACAAACAAAGCTGTGAAGTTCCATACATTTCATCCAAGGAGTCTGGATCTGATCCTACGTGATGTAAGATCAGATTTGGGTTTTAAATGGATAACTGGTAAATGTGAAGGAAGGTAGGAGGCAGAAGCCAGGGCTGGATGGAAGGAAATGACATACATACCTGGCCCCAAGCTGGTCTTGTGTTAGTTCATTCATTGCCACAGTAAGATTTCTCCTAAGTGAGTTGAAATAGCTTGTGGCCTCGGGATAACTGACATAGGAGGCTCTAAACTCCTCTGCCTCAAACCCAAGATCTCTATCTGCTCTCTTGTTCTCTGATAACACTAAACCTTCACTACAGACTTTTGCCAGGTTGCCCTACAATGCGTTGCAGGGGACGCCCTATCCAATGATGAGGAGGGGGAATCATATATAAACTGGGATATAAATGGTGCCTTTAGGATCTACACCATTATACGCAGCTACGGGCCACATTCTGGGAGCAAACATTTCCTGGCACAACTGCGATGGACCTGGAGCTTGAATTACGTTCTAAGTCTTGTGGATGTGGGTAAGTGCTGAGAAGAATGTTATATTTTCTCAACTTTTAGAAATCTGATCATTTTAGAATCTGCTAAAGATCCTGAAGGCATTGTACAAATAACTTAGTGGCAGGCAGGCTCTGCTACAACCACGGCAAAATCCCACATTTCACCCAGCTATTGACTTGAGCAGTTAGAAAAACTGGGAAAGAAAATTTTTGGATTTTAATTTCTATGAACTTTTAATGCACAAGGGCAATAGACTTTGATATTGGACTACAATTCTTTTCAAAGGTAATAATTTCATACATTAATATCCTTAGGACTTTATCTTTTAATATTTTCCTGGGAATTTGATCACAAGAGGATTTTGATATTCTTACTGGGAGCAGAATCTTAGAGTATCTTCATGAATTCTTTGATCTTATTGCAGAACCTCTGATGAGGTCTGCTGGGCAACATGCCAGGGCATAATTTAGTATGGGAAGAAGAATAGAGAGTGACTTTTCCAGTTTGGGGCTAAACTCTGACCCATTTCAGAATCTTCTGGAGAAAAAAGTTATACTAGTCCCAGATGTCTGGGAAAAAGCCACAAAGAAGCAATGATTAGAATCAGCTCTACAAGAGCAGGAGTTTTCCTAGTATTGTTTTCTAAAATCTCAATGTTCTTCTCTAGTTCTTGCAGCAATGTCTAGAATATAGTAGGTATGCTAATTAACACTGAACTGAATGAAAGAATGAATGAATAGTAGGTACGACCTCATGTGGATAGGAACGTGATGCCTTCCATAGACTGCTGATCCTCTCCCCAAAGATGGACAGCCCCTCCTCAGCTCCAGTGTCTGACACAGACTGAATGGTTAAGCCCGGTGCATTAAGTCAGACCTTCTCAATGAGGTCAATACCACCCCATAGGGAGTGTTTTGCACAAGTGTGGTGGTTTTTGGGTCATCACTATAATTTGGGCCTATAACTGGCATTTAGTAATTCACAGGACAGTTTTGCAAAGTGAAGATTTTTGTCCCACATAACTTTTGAATGTCCTGTCAGACATTTGTGTAAAAAAAAACTTGTTTATAATTATTTGATCCCAGAACCTAAGTCCATTTTATATATAAACACAAAAATATTTTTGCACAGTTTTGATATGCACCAAATTTCCAGAAATGCAATTATTGTGTAAGCTGAGGGAAGACTGTACTTTGTTTGGTTTAGAAATGTTTGTTTTGAGTTTTTCCACCATTCTGGAAACTTATCTTGCAGATGGTGATGCTGCTATTGGCATGCGGGTTGCAAATATAACCCACCCGTATTTGTTTACATTTATACTTTTTATTCACCACCATTCTACATATAAAAGGAATCTATTTTATTATGTGACTTTGTGTAGCAGTGTTAGAGTATTTACATATACGAAGACACACTATTTTATATACTTTCCTTTTATTTCTCCTTTTCATTGCCTTTGGGATAGTACAGTGATTTTCTGAAATTACATTATGGGTAGGTTATAGCATAGATGACATTCACTTCAGGTGGGAAAGGAAGGATTACAAAATATTGGCTATGAAAAGGGGCAGTGACACCTGTAATCCCAGCACTTTGGGAGGCCAAGGTAGGTGGATCACCTAAGGTCAGGAGTTCGAGACAAGCCTGGCCAACATGGTGAAACCCCGTCTCTACTAAAAATACAAAAATTAGCTGGGCATGGTGGTGCATGTCTGTAATCCCAGCAACTTGGGAGGCCGAGGCAGGAGAATCACTTGAATTCGGGAGGCAGAGGTTGCAGTAAGCCAATATCACACCATTGCACTCGAGCCTGGGTGACAAGATAGAAACTCTGTCTCAAAAAAAAAAAAAGAAAAGAAAAAGAAAAAGAAAAGGGGCACGGATGGGGTTGAGGAAAAACTGGGCAATGTTAGGATGAGGACCTCTCTCTGCTGGTTCCATACTTCCTGGCAGAAAAAGTCAGCTAGGTTCATGCTCCTCTCAGTTTCGTAAAGGATAACAAAAGGGAGTGAGTTTCTGTTCATTTTGTAAATTCCAGCTCAGCCATCACCCTCTAGAAAGCCTTTCCTAGCCAAAACAAAGCCAATCAGAGCCTCTTCTGCTCTGCCCTTCTATGTTGTTTCTATTTATGATTTTTGTCATGTTATGCAACACGTTATACAATGTGAAAAAAATGTCCGTTATTTAAATGTGTTTGGCCGGGCGTGGTGGCTCATGCCTGTAATCCCAGCACTTTGGGAGGCCGAGGCGGGCGGATCCCAAGGTCAGGACATCGAGACCATCTTGGCTAACACAGTGAAACTTCATCTCTACTAAAAATACAAAAAATTAGCTGGGTGTGGTGGCGGGCGCCTGTAGTCCCAGCTACTCAGGAGGCTGAGGCAGGAGAATGGCGTGAACCCGGGAGACAGAGCCTGCAGTGAGCCGAGATAGCACCACTGCAGTCCAGCCTGGGCAAGACAGCACCACTGCAGTCCAGCCTGGGCAAAACAGCAAGACTCCAACTAAAAAAAAAAATGTATTTTATTTGTACTTTAAATGTAATTATTTAAATGTATGTTTTTTGTTTACATGTCAGTCTCCTACACTTTACTAGCAGCTCCTCAAGAAGCTTGAACTCTTCAAGAGATGTCTTTAACTCTCTACATCTCCAGTGATGCTGGTACAGGGCCTGGCACATACCCTTGCCAACTAACTCCTGCAATGGATGCGATGTGGATTTCAAAAGAGACTGCTCAGTGACATGCACAATTCACTACGTGATTCAGTTACCGTAATTACTCTCCAAGTCAACCCTTTCACAAACGATCATGATAGAATTATGAATGAATAATGGAATTGGTATGATTTTACTTGTGTATCTACCACAGAGTTCAGTTAAATTAGCTTTTCTAAAAAGTGATTTGATTATAATCTCTAAAAAAAAATCTAAAAGGAATCAACCGTCCCATTTATCACAGAAAAATCTCTTTAATAAAGAAAGCTCCAAGCTCCACATTCCAAGGGCTATTCTTTGATCTGCCAGTTTAGTGGTAGTTGGAAACGTTGCCAATGGAAGGAAATTGCTTTTCCAAGGGGGAAAACAAGAATAGTTCTGAACAGAATTTATTTGAAAAAAACGATATTTTATTTTGAAGCAAGAAAATAACTCCTTGTTTTTGATATTGCAGTTTCTGGCCTGAATGAATTGCGGAAATTCAGACAATGACAGGCTGTTTTGATGACATTATCAAATCACACTCCATAAAAATGGATCTTGAGAGTAAATCCAGTCAACTCTCCTAGCAGGGCCATACTCAAATCATTCTATAAGAATTTAAAATTGTAATTTTATATGCAAATCCATTATTTTTAGTTTTTAAGAAAAAGAAATTCCATAGTGCCCATGCCTATTTGGAATTACTCCAACGGGGAAAAAAAGGGAGGTAAATTTGTTTACAATTTATGTCAGGCACAGTGCTAAACGCTCTAGTACACATAATTTCAATCCTCAAAACTGCCTTTCACAGTAGGTACTATTATGTGATTTAAAGAAAAATTGACGAAATGATGAGGAATCGGGGAGATTAGGAAATTTGTCTGACAGCAAAATTGGGTTAGAGTCCCCATACTCTCCGTCTCTAAACCTTATTACCTTTCTGTAAAGCCAGGAGAGCTCTCAAACAGTTTTGAATTCAGCTTTAGGACTGCTCTAGTCATTTTGGTCTCTCCCAGCCTTTTTTTTTTTTTTTTTTTTTTTTTTTTGGCGAAAGTATCTCACTCTGTTGCCCAGGCTGGTGTGCAGTGATGCAATCACGACTGACTGCAGCTTATACCTTCTGGGTTCAGGGGATCCTTCCACCTCAGTCTCCCGAGAAGCTGGTACCGTAGGTGCACAGCACCACACCCAGATAATTGTTTTGTATTTTTTGTAGAGACGGGTTCTCACTATGTTGCCAGGGCTTGTCTCAAACTTCTGAGCTCAAGCAATCTGCCTACCTCTGCCTCCCAGTGTGCTGGGATTACAGACGTGAGTCACCGCACTCGGCCGGCCAGGTCTCATTTTAGGAAAGGAGAATTAAACTGGAATTGACATTCCTTGCTATCTTTAGTCTTTCATGAACTCCTCTGATCCAGCTTCTGTGCCAATACTTTATTTAAATGGTTGTCATCCAGTGCAATGAGGCTGTTCTTCATCTTTCCCTTTCTTGGCCTCTACTTTACAATTCAATAGTATTGACCACCCATGCTTTGTAAAAGAATCCCCCTGCCCCTTGACTTCAGGGATACTACACTATTCCTGGTCTTCACATTTATCTTTTCATGACGCGTCTGTTCTTTTCCTGTGCCTTTTGCCTTCTCCAGTTGCCTCCCTGGGTACTTTTCCTGGAGCTGAGAGCCTGACTCTCTGAAATCTATGCTGACTCCCTCTAAGAAAGCATCCTTTCTCCTGATGGAAGGAAGGCTCTTTGCTGTGTCCTCTCTATTCGTGGAGCTGTCTTCTCACCGGAGCCCCGTTCCATTCTCTGCCCACTGCAGTCTCACTTGTCTGTCTTGCTCTCACCAAACCACACTGTTATTTTTCTGGCCTCCCAACCTTAGCCCCTTTCATAGTAAAAACAAAAGCATGTAACTAAGTGCTCAAATGGGTATTCCCTCCACAAATTTTCCTTCCTTTTCTTTTAAAATTATTTTCTCTAAAGTTTATTGCAATCCTAGAACTTAAGTTTCTCTTGCACCCCTCTTGCCATCACCGCCATGGCTGCACCCCTGATCCAGGTCTAAGACTGACCTTCTCACCTAGGAGGGACCTCTCTCTGGAGCCCTCCCAGCCTCCTCTCCTTCCAGTTCCCACAGCTGCTGATTTCAGGTTAGTCTTCCCTAGCTACTGCTGTTGTCACCTCACTCATTGGAAAACCTTCAACCACTCCTTATTTTCACCCGCACAGAGTCTAAAGTCATTAGTTTGACTTTCAGGATCCTTTGTAATCTCGGTATTTCTCTATGTAGGCCATCTTATTTCTTGCTACTCTTTAGCACTATTCTGCTTCAACACAGCCAGCCTCTTTACGCTTTCGAGAACATGCACGTATCAATTCCTATGCCTTTTTGAAAATGTTCACCTTGCCTGAATTCTCTCCTGACCTGAGTAAGTTTTCCCTCGCTCTATCAAGTCATTCTTGATCACACGAGTTTCATGAACTTTCTTTCCTTCTAAGCTTGCACATTGCTTCAAGCCTGCATCGAATGCATTCATTAGCGCTTAAATGCTGACTATCCTGAACTATGCATTCTTAATTTGCATGTGTCATCCCATAATTTTCTAATCAGACTTAAGCTCCTCATAAATACAAATCTTGCCATACTTTTTATTTTTCCCCTGAGAGTGCAGTAGTAAATACTGATTGATGCTACTTAACACTTGTAATCTGAACCTATATAACCTGATAGGTATAATAATTTAATATTAAAGTCATTAAAAATTGAACAGAAGTTTCTTGATTTACTTTTTTATTTTATTTATTTATTTATTTTTGAGACGGAGTCTTGCTCTGCTACCCAGGCTAGAGTGCAGTGGCGAGATCTCAGCTCACTGCAACCTCCACCTCCCGGGTTCAAGCGATTCTCCTGCCTCAGCCTCTGGAGCAGCTGGGACTACAGGCGCCCGCCGCCACACCCGGCTAATTTTTTGTGTCTTTAGTAGAAACAGGGTTTCACCATGTTGGCCAGGCTGGTCTCAAACTCCTGGCCTCAAGTGATCCTCCTGCCTCGGTGTCCCAAATTGCTGGAATTACAGGCATGAGCCACAGTGCCCAGCCTTTATTTACTTTTAATGGGATTTCAGAACCATTTTAATATCTAAACATAATGTGATAAGCAAATCTATAAGCCTAAGAAATAGACAAATTAAGAGGTGATTATTTGTGTCACTGACATTGTTTATTTTAGGATTTGCCAAAGGTCCTTTGAGTATCTCTCTCCAGAAAACCGACCTTCCTATAGATCGTCTTTTGCAAGACATTGATGAATAGGAGATTTAAATGCTAATGTTGGAAGCCAGTCACACAAAATATTTGAGTCACCCATATTAAAGATTAATTTGATATGAAGATAGAGCATCTATAATATTAAATGTAGCATCACTGAAGAAAAGGTCATTTTAAAAAGCAGTAGCACCTGTACTCAAAATTAGCAGGACTTCCTGTAACGATATAAACTGGAATACACTATATTAGAGTCTGGGATGAATAGACTCTGTTAAAAAAATAAAACAGCCTTACCTTTACATAATCATAAAGGCATCTTTGCCTAGTACTTGCTGCCTCCAGAGCAAATGTATTGAAGGTGAGGTGAATTACTTTGTTTACAGGTGCAATTATGATCCATACACAGTTTAAATTCTTGTCATACATTCCATTCGAATCAGAATCAGGAGAGGCAAAGGTATTATTCGAGCCTGTCAGATAACCACCACATCCTTGCTGAGGCCCTGCATTAAAACAAAGACATCACTATGCAGACCAAACAGAACCGACCTTACATTGTACATGGAGGGTTTTTAAAAAGAACATAGTTTCCATTTTCTGTCACACTCTGAGAACATGATCAGATCATTCCCTCCTGGGCTCCCTCCTTTCCTCCCTCCCTCTTTTCTTTTCTTTCTTCCTTCCCCCCACCCGCCCCATCTCTCCCTCCTTCCCTCCCTCTATCTTTCCCTCCCTCACTCTATCTTTCCCTCCCTCCCTCTATCTTTCCTTCCCTCCATCTTTCCCTCCCTCCCTCTATCTTTCCCTCCCTCACTCTGTCTTTCCCTCCCTCACTCTCTTTCCCTCTCTCCCTCCATCTTTCCCTCCCTCCCTCTATATTTCCCTCCCTCACTCTGTCTTTCCCTCCCTCACTCTCTTTCCCTCTCTCCCTCTATCTTTCCCTCCCTCCATCTTTCCCTCCCTGACTCTATCTTTCCCTCCCTCCCTCTATCTTTCCCTCCCTCCATCTTTCCCTCCCTCAATCTTTCCCTCCCTCCCTCTATCTTTCCCTCCCTCCCTCTATCTTTGCCTCCCTCACTCTATCTTTCCCTCCCTCCCTCTATCTTTCCCTCCCTCCATCTTTCCCTCCCTCCATCATCTTTCCCTCCCTCCCTCTATCTTTCCCTCCCTCCCTCCATCTTTCCCTCCCTCCATCTTTCCCTCCCTCACTCTATCTTTCCCTCCCTCCCTCTATCTTTCCCTCCCTCCCTCCCTCTATCTTTCCCTTCCTCACTCTATCTTTCCCTCCCTCCATCTTTCCATCCCTCCCTCTATCTTTCCCTCCCTCCCTCCATCTTTCCCTTCCTCACTCTATCTTTCCCTCCCTCCATCTTTCCATCCCTCCCTCCATCTTTCCCTCCCTCCCTCTATCTTTCCCTCCCTCCCTCTATCTTTGCCTCCCTCACTCTATCTTTCCCTCCCTCCATCTTTCCCTCCCTCACTCTATCTTTCCATCCCTCCCTCTATCTTTCCCTCCCTCCCTCCCTCTATCTTTCCCTCCCTCACTCTATCTTTGCCTCCCTCAGTCTATCTTTCCCTTCCTCACTCTATCTTTGCCTCCCTCGCTCTTTGCTTCCATAGCAGAGCCTTCAGGTGTCTCCTTCTTATTCACGGAGTTGCTGAAAGAAGTGGGAAAACACATAGGGTTCTACAGACGTTTTTGGGATTGCTGATGTGATTTATTGAAGATTTTCCTGGCCTTGAAAAATCCAGTTTTATACAAAATCAAGTACTTTGCATAATAAAGCTGGTGGAAAATGTGCATATGTTTTACTTTTATGTTCCGCTTTCATGAACACTGTCAGACTGAAAACTGAATTTATGAAGAATTTACCCAACAAACCAAGAAAATTGCTGCCAACAAATCTTTTATTTACACAGTGTGATAGAAAGAGGCTGAGAGGCATTTAACACTGCAGTCCAGTTTATATTCAGCCACACTCTATATTTAACTTTTTCTTTTCCAAAACATGAGAAGCTAAAGGAAAAAATCTTTATAGAAGAAAAAGGCCTTCTTTCAGATAAAAATTTTATAATTCAGAATAAAAATACAAAGGAGAGATAAAGAATAATCTCAAGATGATTAAACGGTCTACCATAAAAGAATACAAAAAAACAATCCTCAGAACATAAGATTTAGTTTTGTCTACTCCATGGCCTAAGCAGACAGCTCAGAAATGATTTAAGAAGAGCATAAAGGGATGAACAATTTATTGACAATTTTGAAAGAAATGGTGAAATAAGCTCAAAATAGCCCTAGTAGGAACAGGGATTAAACTGGTGCTGAAATTAATGTCTATAAAGCTTGTATTCTACACAAATATAGGTCATGGCTAGTTCCAAAGTTAAACTTCGCTGGGATTGGCCTTCAGTCTATTTTTCTCATTCCATTTTCTGCTCACGGTGAAAAGACTGCTTTCAACATTAGGGGGTGCTAAGATTTTGTACTTGGACCTTGGCAGTAAACATGAACAATGGTGGCTCTCCTGAACCCTGTCTGTAAATCCAATGGATAGATAGCAAACGTGCAGGGTGATTTTTGTTACAGGCACATTACTTAGTAGGTCAGGCTTGGCCTGTCCATAGCTTCTAAGTCAGGCGAAACTATAGAGTATTTGCATAGTCAGACATTTCCCAAAGTTGAAATGCTTCCAAAGGCCCAGTCCCTGATATATTCACAGAGGTCATATAGGACAAAATTATTCTGAAACGTAAGCAATACGCAGTGCTTCACCACATGTTGCTAATGATTCTGCTAATCTGAAATGGGCCTGCAAACTCAAGAGAGGGTTGGAGTTTGTGGAGTTTGAGCAGCTTTGATTCCAGTGTGAACTGACTGTTACTTAAGGAAACCACTTAAGCTTATTGGCATGCGTAGCACAGAAGAACGATGACTGAGGGTATGAATGGATTGATAAATTTATTTATTACATATTGTTTCAATATTCAAGAAAGTATATTTAGTATTTAAGTAGAAAAAGATAAGTGATAGTCCATTAGTAGTAAGACATAGATAAATAATGATGACGCAATTTAGAAAATGATAGGTTCAGTAAAAGAGGCAGAAACGTCTTACAGTTTTGCAAAAAGATGAAGATTACTTTGGGCTATGAGGATCTCAACTGTTCCAAGGAGGAGGTGATTTGGATCTGGGTCTTGAAGCATAAATAGAATAAAACCATGTAGAAATGGAATTGGCATTGGCAATTCCAGCCTGAAAGAATCTCTTGATCCAAGGCTAAATGGGCAAGAATTTACATTATATGCATGGGCAAGCATAACTCTGAGAAAAGAATAGGGCACATGAAGGAGAATAATGAGAATTAGGATTGGGAAAACAGGATGGGGTCTTCTACAGAGGGCCTTCAATGCTGGATTATACAGAGTTTGGCTGTCAGACTGTGTTCTTTGGCTAATGGGATTCAGTTGAAAGATTTTTAATCAAATAAGTGGTAGAATCAGGATGCACTTGCTAATCAAGTCTGATCTAAAAATTGATCCAGAACCAGCATTTTACATGCAAGGGAACGAGACTGAAGGAGATGAGACCAGGTGAAAGGACATTGCTGTGGTGAGGGCTGCAGGTAGGAGCACTGAAGAGTTGGAGGTAGGTAGACAGGAAAATGCTGTTGCTGGGCATTATTCTATTAATCATCAGCTTCAAAAACTAAATGTTATTTTTAAACATTCAAGCTATATTTATCACTACTTGTTTATTAACTGTTACTAATAAGTTCATAAGGGCAAGATGGCAATTGTACTTGGGCCCAGTGAATGCCATTACACACACTTATTATGTAGTACTACTGCTATGACTAATGCCATAAAGCAGCACACCCACATTCCAGGGAACCCCAGAACAAGCATCCTTAAATCACTGATGTGTTTGCCATGGATTGAGTGGTAAATTGGCTGATCCATCCTCCCTCCTTTCCTTCCTTCCTTCCTTCCTTCCTCCCTCCCTCCCTCCCTTCCTCTCTTCCTCCCTCACTCCTTCTTTTTTCTTCCTTTCCTTTCCTTTTTTCTCTCTCTCTCTTTCTCTCTCTCTCTTTCTCTCTATCTCTCTTCCCCTCCCCTCCCCTCCTCTCTCCTCCCCTCCCCTCCCCTCCCTCCCTCCTTCCCTTCCTTCCTTCCTTCCTTCCTTTCTTCTAGATGAGGACTTGCTATGATGCCCAGGCTGGTCTCGTATTCTTGGGGTCAAGCAAATCCTTCCACCTCAGCCTCTTGAATAGCTGGGATTACAGGTGCATGCCACCATGCCCAGCTTAACTGGCTGATTTTTAATTCTTCAGTATCTCTCTTTGCACTGCACTAAAATGGAGAGTATATTTTTCTGTGCACTTGATGTTAGGCTTAGCCCTACGACTTGCTTTAGAATGAGTGTTAGTGGTCATGAAGCAGCCAGAGGCCTTAAACGTGCTTACGTTTTGTTCTTGTTTTTATTGTTGTCTAGGACTTTGTGCTCCTGTGATCCACTAAGATATCATGTGCTGAGTAACTGCTGGTTCAAAGAAAAAGTGGATTCATGTGGAGCAGACTTGAACCCAGACTCAACTTTACAGCCAACTACAGCCAACCCGCAGCTTGGAACGGAGGCAGGCAAGCTAGTCCGTGGACCCATAAGTGATAAAAACAAATGCTTTCATTATAAGACACTGAATTTTGGATGGTTTGTTAAGTAGCACTGTCATGGTAATAGCAGACTAATACACACAACTAATATTAATAGCTTGTTTGAGCTATCAAACTATAATAGAGCTCATTGTTCAATTCACAAAATATACACACAGAATAAAGAACATGGAGAAAAATATCATGAGATAATCCTGGCCAAAATAATCAAATATTTGAAGTGAATATCATATTACATGAGTGAACAGTTATTTGTGTAGTGCAGGGAATAGCAATTGCTCTAATTCCCCCTCTTTAGTGCTTAAATATAGCAAAACTGCTCCATGCAAAATGAAATGTAAGTGTATATGTCTTTGAGAAAACGTAATGATCAATATTAACAAAAGAAGGGTTCTTTCCCAAAAGGAGCTATTGCCACATTGCTCTTTCTGTGTTTCAATGGTGGGGGAATATAAACAAGGGCGACCTCTGTGACTATGCAATAGAGTCCCACGCATCAGAAAGTCATATATATTTACCATACTGATATTTTGAAATTGCATTTTTTAATGTATAAGCCATCTTAACCTTGATATGTTTAGCATCACCAATCCATCATTTCCTCATTACTACACATTTTGGGGCCACCTAGACAGCTCTCATCCATCAGCACCTGCCTCATCAATCAGGTGTGTCAGTCACTCTCTGATGACACACCCTGCGTCCAAGAACAAACGTCACTCTTTCTTCCCTGAATTGGAAATATCTCTCTCACACAAAAGAGCCATTTCTTCAGAGAAAATACATGTTTTGGCTAAAGAAATATTGGAAATATAACCCCATAATAAGGAGTGAGATCCAGGTCTAAATCTACTTAATTAAAAATCGGTAACCGAATCCTGAATTATTACCTTCCAATGACTAAACCTCAGAGTGAAGCTTAAGCCAAGATCAATCTGATAAGGGAAAAAATAGTTACATTCTCTTGGATAAAACATCTCGAAGGCTTCAGTGGAGTTAGATACATTTTTAAATCATTATTTGGAGAATTGACATTTTTGTGGCTCACATTCTATACGGCTGACATTTTCCTGAGGTTGTCTGGATAGTATCTCTGCCTGTCTCTGGTTGACCACTACTGAGAAGGTGCACAGTGTGCTGTACGAGCAGATACAGACTGGCTTGACTTCAGGCCCTCTCCTGTTTCCAGCAAGCCATCTGTGGCTTTAGGCTGCAGCTGAAGGAAGCTTTACTGGAAACTACAGGAAGCAGAATACAAAGACATTTAAAGCTGGTGCCTTAGGGAAATTCGAGCACACCTAGACAGCTTCCTTTCTACCACCCAGGGATGCAGGGCTAGAAATGCATTATCCTTTTTTGGAATCAGCCTTACTGTAATTTATAAAGCTGCAGATACACAATTGCTCCAAAGCAGTGTATTCATGTAAAAACATTCTACTAGGTTTCAGACGAACCTGTTTTGTCTTTTTCTCTAAAAGTAAACAGTGTTTATTATTTTACTCCCTAATCTCCAATGTGTACAATACTTCAGGTATAATATTTATGTTTTACAAGAAAAAAGTTAGTAGTTTTTGTAATGAGGTTTTTTATTGTTTTGTTTGTTTTTAGTTGCTTCACTTAATTTGACTCACTTTAGTTATCCTAATTTGAAACCCAGCTTAATCTAAATTAAAATGTGTATTTAGTCTGGTAATATTTAGGAATCATAAAACTAAAAGAATGGTAATTTACTAAAAGAAAGGTAATTTCAGCAAGCTAATCAGTAGCTGTAGTTAATAGAAAAAGAGCAATACTTGTATAAAGAACTTAGGAGAAGGAAAATTTTATCGTTATCTTTTAATTTATCTTGCATTATTTAGATATCACTGAAAATGCTCTATGCATACATCATTAGCCCCAGGGCATTTTATGAGAATCATTCTTTCCAACTTGGAAATTAAAAAAATAATTTACTAAGCAAAATGACATGATCATGTCAGTTGATGCTGAAAAAGGATTTGACAAAATCCAACACACATTCATGATAAAAACTCTTGGCAAACTAGGAATAGAGGAGAAATTTCTTGACTTGATAAAAACCATCTGCAAAAACCTACAGCTAACAGCATAATTAATGGTGAAATACTAAACGCTTTCTCCCTAAGATCAGGAACAAGGCAACGATATTGATTTCACACCCCTCTAACTCAGCGTAGTATTAGAATTCTTGCCAGAATAAAGCAAGAAAAAATATATAGAGAGACTGGAAAGGAAGAAATAAAATTTCCACTTTTGCAAGTAACTATTAGCTGCAGAAAATCCCAAGTAATATGGAAAAACATTCTTAGAACTAACATATGAGTTCAGCAAGAACTCAGGATAAAGGAACAATACACAAAAATCAATCAAATTTTAATATACTAACCATTAACATGTGGAGACCAAAATTAAAAAACAATACCATTTATAATCATTACAAAAAAATGAAATATTTAGGTATATACTTAATGAAGCAGATACAGGCTTATGTGATGAAAATTACAAAATAATGAAATAAATAAAAGAAGGCCTAAATAAGTCTAGATACATATATGTTCATGGATTGGAAAACTCAACATAGTAAAGACATCAGTTTTCCCCAAATTGATGGATAGATTTAATGCAATTCCTATAAAAATCTCAGCAAGGTTTTTCTGCAAACATCAAAAAGCTTAACTTATTTTTATTTTTATTTATTTACGTTTTTTTAGGATAGAGGCTTGCTCTGTCACCCAGACTGGAGTGCAGTGGTGTGATCACAGCTCACTGCAACTTTGAACTCCTGGGCTCAAGGGATCCTCCTACCTCAGCCTCCCAGTTAGCTAGGACCACAGGCAAATGCCACCATGCCTGGCTAATTTTGTTATTTTTGGTGAAGACAGGGTCTTGCTATTATTGGCCAGGCTGGTCTTGAACTCCTGGCCTCAAGGGATCCTCCCACCTTGGTCTCCCAAAGCTCCGGGATTACAGGCATGAGACACTGCCCCCAGCCTTTATTTTAAAATTTATATGGAAAGGCACAGGCCTTCAAATAGCTAAAACAACTTCACAAAGAAAAATGAAGTGGGATGAATCACTCCACCTGATATTAAGGCTTACCATGTAGCTATAGTAATCAAGACAGTGTGATATTGGTGAGGAGTTAGACACATAATCAATGGAATAGAATACAGAACCCAGAAATAGACCTATACAAATATGTCCAACTGATTTTTTTCAAATGTGCCAATGCAATTCAATGAAGGAAGGACAGCCTTTTCAACCAATGGTGCTAGAGCAATTGGACATCCAGAGGCAAAAAACTGACTTCCACCTAAATCTCATATCTAAACCAAAATGAGCTCAAAATGGATCATAGACACAAATGAAAAATGTAAAATCATAAAACTTTTAAAAGAAAACACCAGAATAATCTCTGGGACCTTGGGGTAGGCAAAGAATTCTTAGACTTGGTATCAAAAACATGATCTATAAAAGAAAAAGTCGATAAATTGAACTTCAACATTAAAAACTTTTGTTCAGTGAAAGGCCAATATAAGGCAAGAAAATTAAAAGGCAAGATATAGACTGGGAAATAACATTTGCAAACCACATACTGACAAAGGATCATTGATTGAGAATAGATAAAAAGCTCTCAAAACCCAACAATAGAAAAATAAACAATTCAATTAGAAAATGGGTAAAAGATATAAATAGATATTTCACCAGAGAATAGATATATAGATGACGAAAAGCACGTGAAAATTGTTCACCATTAAATTAAAATCACATGAGATATTAATACACACCTACCAGAATGGCTAAAATAAAATTAAATAACAACAACAGCAACAATAACAGTACTCTACAATGAGATGACCAGGGGAGGGATGGGGGTCCCCAGTTATAGAAAGCAATGGCTTCCTAATCAAAATAATACAAGCCAGAGCATGATGGAATAGCATCGTAAAGTCCTGAATGAAAATAAATGCCAAATTAGAACTCTATACTCAGAGCAAGAATCCCACAGAATTTAAGAAAATCAAGTCATTTTCGAAAAACAAAAACAAAGAACACTTTTTACCAGAAGATCTCCAATGAAAGAAACATAAAAGAGAGGTCTTCCAAAAGAAATACATTAATCCCATATGGAAGCATAGAATTTCAGGAAGAAAAGAAAAATAACAGCAAGGGTAATTTTACATTATTAGTAATTGTATAAAACAATAAAAATGTTTTGTGTACCTATTATGTACGTAGAATTAAAATACTTGGCATAGATAGCACAAAAGACAGGAAGTGGGTAAGTGGGTTTAAAATGTTCCAAGGTCCTTGGATTGATTATTGATTATAACATGATAAAAGTATCAACTTTAAATTAGATTCTAACATATTAAGGTTGAATACTGTAATCTCTAAGGTAACTACTGAAACAAGAGTCACAGGATGTATAAATAATAATTTTAAAAGGGGAGTAATAAAAAAGTGATTAATTTTAAAAAGAAAAGATAGTTAAAGGAAAACAAAAAGAAGTGGGACAAACAAAACACAAATAGTACAAAGGTCTATCTAAAACTAATATTGTTAGTAATTTTATCAGATATAAACACATTAAATTCTTCAATAGAAAGGCATAGCCAAACAAAAGCCAAATATATTCTTCAGGATAGAGACAAGTTGAAAATAAAAGGGTTTAAAAACATATCACGCAAATATGAATCAAAAGAAAGCTATGGAAGTTATACTAAATCAGAACAAGTAGAAATTAAGGCAAAAAGCATTTAAAAACGTTGTTACATAATGGTATCAGTCAATCCACTAGAAAGATATAATAATTATAAATGTACATGTGCCACATTATATGGCTTCAAAATAAAAAAGAGCAAAACTCCAGCCAAGATGTTTCTACTGAGCTTCTAACTCTCTTATCTGACTACCTACTGATCACTAGCTGGATATCCTAAAGGCATCAAATTCTCCAGACAAAACCCAACATTTTTATTATTTTATTCTGCAAAGCACTGTCCTCTCCTAGTAATTTTCTATTTGAATAGTGGTGTCACAAGACATTGTCCAGAAACCTTAGGAGCATTATTATTTCTTCTTCCCAAGCTGCTTCTCTCAAATGGAACACTGTGTTATTGATTCTATATCTTGAGGATTTCTCCTTTCAGTCTCTTTCTTTATTTTCATGGTACCACTGCTCTTATCATCCCATGCCTAAACTATTGCAATACTTTTCTAACTTTTTCCCTGGAATGCTGCTTCAAAACATCATCCCCACAGGTGCTGGGATGTGCTTTCTAAAATAAATCTGACCAGATGATAGCACGCTCCAGCTCAAAACAATGACTGGCTCCTCTTTGCACATGATACAGAGCCCTCCATGCCTGGCCTTTGCATATCTCTCCTCTCTCAGCACCTATTGTTCTCTGCCTTATGCCCCAAAGCATTACCAATGTTCAGGTTAGCTGGCATCCATTGAAATGGGATGCACCTGTAACTTTGTGCATGTGTTTTATTTCTCCATAGATTGTCCATTTTCCCAATGAATGCCTTTTTTTTTTTTTTGAGATAGAGTTTCACTCTGTCACCCAGGCTGGAGTGCAGTGCTGTGATCTCCACTCACTGCAACCTCTGCCTCCCAGGTTCAAGGGATTCTCCTGCTTCAGCTGCCCGAGTAGCTGGGACTACAGGTGTGTGCCACCAAGCCTAGCTAATTTTTGTATTCTTTGGTAGAGATGGGGTTTCACCATGTTGGCCAGGCTGGTCTCAAACTCCTGACCTCAGGTGATCAGCCCGCCTCAGCCTCCCAAGCGCTGGGATTACAGGCGTGAGCCAGCATGCCTGGCCAATGAATGCCTTCTTATCCTTCCAAAATAATACTATTTATAGCTAAAAATTCTCGCATGTGAAATGAGTGACAAGTATTTTCTAATTTAATCACTGAACCCTATAAGGTCATTATTATTAGTGTACTGTTTTTACAGATAAAAAAAAAAATCAAGACTCAGAGTGGATAAGTAAATTGTCCAAGATCGACCTCAATGAGATGTACAAACTGAGTTTGAATCTGGGATGTGATGCTCCACGTTTACCCTCTTACCCACTGCACCATAATTCAGGACTCACATTCTCTGAGGTGCATCCTCTAACAGTCCTGTGTCCTTTCTTCCACGGAACATCCAAGTACCATAGATCCCTTCTTTCTTGCTTCCAGTGCCCTTTTGCATACATTTCTGTTAAAAAGAATCCCTGGGGGCTGGGCGCAGTGGCTCACACCTGTAATCCCAGCACTTTGGGAGCCTGAGGAGGGTGGATCATGAGGTCAGGAGTTCGAGACCAGCCTGACCAACATGGTGAAAGCCCGTCTCCACTAAAAATACAAAACTTAGCCAGGCGTGGTTGCATGCGCGGGTAATCCCAGCTACTCAAGGGGCTGAGGCAGGAGAATTGCTTGAACCTGGGAGAAGGAGGTTGCAGTGAGCGGAGATCACGCCATTGCACTCCAGCCTGGCAACAGAGTGAGACTCCGTCTCTCTCTCTCTCTCTCACACACACACACACACACACACACACACACACATCACATCCCTGGGTATTTTTATCAATTGCCACAGAGGCAATGAAGGCTTACTAAGAAAATCAGGAGTTTGGGGGACAGTCAAACTCATGTTCAAAGCCTGGCTTTACCTCTTACAAACCCTTTGGACCACAGACAAATTACTTAATCTCTTAAATTTTTCTTTCTTCCTTTGTAAAATGGGGTAATTCCTGTCTCATCTGGTAGCTCTGAGGATTAGATAAAGTAATATACATCAAGCAGCTCATGCTACATCTGGTAGGGCACAGGTTCAGGGACAAGCAGTGATTTTCACGATGCCCTGGGATTTCCTGACAAGTCTTTACTTGTGAGTGAGCAAAATGTACAGCTACCATGTAATGTTAACAGACTTTTCACATATTAGAATGAAGAGAAGAACACGGTCCCACTATTATATTTCCTAACAGTTTATTTATAACAAAAGAATGTTTTAAAATTTTTATTGCTCACTGCATATATTTTGTTTTTATGTTCCTGGGAATGCTATAACAAAGCCAGGCTGATCTGAGTAAGGATGTTGATTATTATAGGGAATTTATGGGTACAAATAATTTAACCCAAAATAACCAGTTACCTGCGACAAAACTAGGTCGCGTCTTGTGTTTTAGATTACACATAATAAGTGCTTCTTCCCAGCACCTGTTCCCTTCAGTGTTTTTCAAAATGTTATCCTATAATTTACCATTAACTCAATTTTATCACTTAGTTTGGTCTCCACAATACCATGTGGTTTTATTTTCACAAGGACAGCCCCATCCTTCAAGACCAGGAGTGGCAATCTAGTCATTGGTGGGGGCACAGACTCCAGTGTTGAAATATGTTTATTAAGAACCTTTCCTTTCTTCTTGCTGATTTGGTATTTAACTCCTGTCTACTTGCTTTTGTAAAGTTTTGGTGAACTAAGCATTTGTTGGTTTCTTTATCCCGTTCCCACATTCTCAGCTCAGCAAAAAACCTTTCCCCATAAAACCCACAAAGAATAACGTGAAGATAACCTTGTCTTTAGGATCATCCCCCAAGGGAAGTCTAATCACCAGTAAAAGGTACAGGGCTTAAAAAGAGCGGAAATAAGCTTAGTTGGGTTTTTCTTTAAATGGGTTTACAGTTTCAGCTCATCTCATTCTCAGACTTCATCACAGGGAGCAAATGACATTAGGAAACCAGAAAAATGACATTCCATGGTTGCTTTGGAGCAATACCCTCATTATTGCTAAACTGAGAGTTGTTTGATCAGTGATTTATCCAATTATTCAAGTTATAATTCAACTTCCTTATTACATTTGTACTTCTAACAGTAACGTGAGCTGACAACTTCAATCAGGCCACCAAGAGGTACCTAGAGACATATACATATATTTTTTATGCCATTGAATTTTTAAGTTTATTCTTGTATTGTTTAGCTATTTTAGAATGCCTCACAAAGTTTAAATTTAACACCAAAACTGGGAAACTTAAAAATAACTAGAAGCAGAAGTCTGAATTGGACATGTTAGATTTTTTTTTCCATTTGTTGTGACCATGTTTTCCATCTTTGTGGCCCTAGACTCTCTTCAGCTTTCTCTGTCTCCTTCTTTCTTTCTTTCCTGTTTCCTTCTTTTTTATCCCCTTCAACTTCCTTCTGCCACTCCCACTGTCTTCATTTAACGTGTTTGAGAGACATTTTCCAGATGTTAAGGTAACAGGCAAAAACTCACAGGAGAGAAACACAGATGACCTAAATATTGAGTGTGATCCGGTATTCCTAATTCTCTGAAGATGAAAGTGATTCAATTTACCTCCCTGTGTAGAGCTTACCCAACAATTATATAAACCAGGATTGAATTTTGAGAATGAGCTGAATCTAGATAAAATCTAATGTGTTCTATATGGTATATTATTATATCTCATTATAAAATATGATTTTGAAGTAGGCACAATTTATCCATTTATTCTGTAAATCACTCATATGGACAATATCGATGGAGTAACAATTGTGCAAGGCCTGGGGATTTAATCAGAATGTAGCTTTTGATTTCAGATTTAGGTTATAAAATGTACTTTAGGATTTGACGGTTAGGTGTCACTGCAAAGTGGGTAGGAAAGAACGAAAAATCACTGTAGCATGATGTGGTCCTGTTGAGAATGTTGATCCCTGCCCACCCCACCCTCAGCCACCCTCCAACCTTGGAAATAGGGTTGGGCGGGGGGCTTGAAAATTTGGGACTTCAATATTACTTTCTAATACATAGAGTCTTTCACTCTGACAGCTAAGGTGCTTTCCAGAAATTATCTGCTTTATCCCCATCACATTCTTAAATAGTTGTAATATTTCAAATTGATCAGTTTTTTAGTAGATAAAAATTGAGATTCAAAACGTTATAGGGCTTTTCTAAAGCCGTATCACCAAGCAATGATATCATGCATCAATCAGCTCTTTCCATCTGGCCATATGTCTTTTTTTCTTTCTTTTTTTTTTTTTTTTTTAGATGGATTTTTTTGCTCTTGTTCCTCAGGCTGGGCACAATCTTGGCTCACCACAACCTTCACCTCCCAGGTTCAAGCGATTCTCCTGCCTCAGCCTCCCGAGTAGCTGGGATTACAGGCATGTGCCACCATGCCTGACTAATTTTGTATTTTTAGTAGAGACAGGGTTTCTCCATGTTGGTCAAGCTGGCCTCGAACTCCCGACCTCAGGTGATTCACACACCTCGGCCTCCCAAAGTGCTGAGATTACAGGCGTGAGCCACCATGCCCAGCTTTTTTTTTTTTTTTTTTTTTTTTTTTTTGGGACGGAGTTTTGCTCTTGTTGCCCAGGCTGGAGTGCAATGGTGCTATCTTGGGTCACTGGGTCACTGCAACCTCTGCCTCCTGGGTTCAAGTGATTCTCCTGCCTCAGCCTCCCAAGTAGCTGGGTTTGTAAGCATGCACCACCATGCCTGGCTAATTTTTTGTATTTTTAGTAGAGACGGGGTTTCACCATGTAGGCCAGGCTGGTCTTGGACTCCTGACCTCAAGTGATCTGCCTGCCTCAGCCTCCTAAAGTGCCAGTATTACAGGCGTGAGCCACCGTGCCCAGCCTACCTGAACATATTTATACATTTGTTGGACTGTAATTCATTCTGTCCTTGTTATATATGTGCTTGGGTATTTTTGCCTTGGTCTCTTAGCAAAGGTCTCTGAACTGACCTTAATGCAACCTGACTCAGTCTCCATGTGACAAATACCCCAGGTGGAGGAAGGCAGACAGTGGCCCTCGTCATCAGCATGTGTGCTCTGGGCAACAGGGGCTGGCTGGGAGCTTTGAGTCCAGGTGAGAGGTGAAGCCAGTTGGACTTCCTGGGTCAAGTGGGGACTTGGAGAACTTTTCTGTCTTACAAGAGGATTGTAAAATGCACCAATCAGCGCTCTGTAGCTAGCAAGAGGATTGTAAAATGCACCAATCAACGCTCTGTAAAATGCACCAATCAGCAGGATCCTAAAAGTACCCAATCACAGGGAGGATTGAAAAAAGGGCACTCTGATAGGACAAAAATGGAACATGGGAGGGGGCAATAAGGGAATAAAAGCTGGCCACCCCAGCCAGCAGCCGCAACCTGCTCGGGTACCCTTCCACGCTGCGGAAGTTTTGTTTTTTTGCTCTTTACAATAAACCCTGCTACCGCTCACTCTTTGGGTCCATGCCAATTTTAAGAGCTGTAACACTCACCACGAAGGTCCATGGCTTCATTCTTGAAGTCAGTGAGACCACAAACCCACCAGAAGGAACCAACTCCAGAAACACAGGCACTGCCACCACTTGTCCCTGAGGGTGCGTCTTCCCCATCTGTCTTCCTGTGCTGTCTGTCCCCCTGCTGTCTTGCAGGGGACACCCCTCAGTCTCTCCTTGGCAACTCACTAATTGAAATGCCTGCAGACCTCCCATCTAATAGAGCCAAGTTCCATTTTCTACACTGAAGTTTTGCTGAAGTGTTATAGAATACATCATTTTAGAAAAAAAAAATGAAACAATGATGCTACTGCACAGTAAATAAATAAGTTTACTGAAAGCCCCTGATCTAACCCTATGTGTAGAAGTTTGATGTGTAGTGTGACATGCATATTGTGAATAGGCCAAGCAACTCTCTGGTATGAGACCCCCTCAGGAAGAACTGGAGGCTCTGATGGTTAAAAATACGTTTGCAAGTGTGAAGTGATTTGTACAGGACACACATAAACAGAGTCAAGGCAGGAGACGACCCTGCTGGTAAAGGAAGGGGCAGCAACTAAACTAGCAGAAGTTAACAGGACAGAAGGTACTTAAAAGCATCCGTTCTGCCTATAGGCCATGCCCACTTAGCCAAATCCACAGAACCAACAGCTTTTTAAACTTTATAGGAGCATAGAAGCCATTGACAATCTGATGCAAACTATGAACTCGGTTAGGAAAAATGCTCCGATTTGCAGATTATTTCAGAGTTTCACAGATTGCTGCAGCCCAGTGTGATCATTTTGCTGGTTGTCAGCCATTCAGGATCAATTATTCATATAGCATTGGAGCACAGGGGGGAGACAAGCAGGCACATTTCCATTGCAGTTAGAGATCAGCTCATGCTTGCCAAATGTGCTTTCTCCTTACCTTGCATCCATGCATATGGGCCTCCAGCAGCAGAAGTTCCGAGGAAAAAGGAGACCCAATTTCACTACATATTTAGTAATTAGCAACTAGGGATAGTTCCCCCAAATTTGCTGTGACTCGCTAGCAATACAAATATAACAAATGCACAAGGCGAATTGAACCTAATAGTCACATAATTATATAAGCCAATCTCTTCATCCTGAAAAATTGAAGCAGATGTACATAAAACATTGCCAAGTGTATAATCTAAATAGCAAATCTGCAAAACCCTACTTAGTGTTTTAGTTAAGATCGAAACGGAAATGTCATAGACTAAAATGGTCTCCTCTTCACATCAATTATTTACTAAGTGAAGATATTGTTTTCCAGGCTGAGCAAACAGCTTTGTAAATGAAAATCCACTATCTGGTCCACAAAGTTGATTTCCCTCTCTTCAGGGGAAAGACAGAGTTGTTTTACATAAATGAGTTGGAGGCAAAAGGGGCATCCTATTAGCCAAGTTTGTCTTCATCCAAAGCTATAACTAAACGACCCTATAAACCTTACAGTCAAAGCTATTCTTATTGTTCCTTCCCCCTCTCCTCACTACAAACAATAAAAACCAAAATGAAACAAAATTTGAAAGTTATGCAGAATGATCAATAAACTTGTCAGTGTGTGGTCTTGAAAGCTTTGTAAGACCACTGCAATGCAAAATCATAATACTTAGGTTTTCACTTAAACATTACCATCAAAGAGTAGTTACAATGACTTGAAGTATTTCCAAGTGGCTGATGGCATTTATGCAGATGAAAAAGAGGTAAAAATCATCTTCATGAAATACAGGGGTAACACAATGCTGGCAAGGAGTTCCGTTTCTACATTCTCCACTTAAACCTTTTCCCTAACTGTGGCCAGAGGAAAACAGTAAGTGACTGTAATTGTTCAATGACTCGTGCATAGAGAATGCTTCTGACAGTGTAAGACTTTTCCTTCTGTTAAATCACAATAGGTCTAAAAATGTCTTCTTTGTGGCTTGGAAAGACATGGTAATTTAATGAGGCTAGGGAACCCTGGCTCACTTGAGAAGCTTCATGCAGATGATAGCAGTGAGGAGATTGTTAACACAACAATTACCATTTTCTTGTGAGACTATATTAGGAAAAAGAAAAACAACTTGAAAGGTAGCAAAGCAAATGCAGACATAGGACATTTGGTCTAAAGTCTGTGCTAAAGGCAAGAATATATCCCTTTTTTGTGCAAAAAAAAATCTCCAAAGGAAAATTAATTTTTCTTTCAAAATAGCCTTCTGGCTTTTGTATGCTACTTCACCTACACAATTCTGTTAAGGCAACACTCTCTCACTGCCCGTGAGACTTGCTTTCAAGTTACTGTTGAGACAGCTAAGTAGGGGAGGTGGCAAAGGGATTTTCTGATACAATTTGTCTTGAGGTGTGTGGTTTACCGGGAAGCCTTCAAAACACAATGTCTAATTGCTTTCCTCAAGTACTGCATGGAAAAATTCACATGCCCAATATCAAGAAGTTGAAGGTAAACTCCGTTTTGCATCAGAGAAACGAAGTTTATCCACACTATGGAAGAAACAGAAAGTTTGAAAAGTGAATCAGGGTTATTATTACAGAAAACTGCCTGGATTTTTCTGAGTCTTCACAGAGTATGAGATTTGTTTGGAGAGTTGTGCATTTTTAGAACATTAATCACATCTATATTCAAAAGGAAAAGGATCAAAACACTTTCCAGAGTCGAATATTAATGATCTTAGACTGTGTCACTGATGCTGTTAGAATAGCCAAACAGGTAATTGATTAACTACCTTTTATTTTAAATTATTCAAAATTCTGAGTTAATTTGATATGGGTATTTCTCACCAGTGGTGTTTGATGTGGATAATTTATTTCTCACATGCAGTGGGAGTAATCTGGGGCATATTTTCAGTTTATCCTCTCACCTAACTTTACCTACCCCCGCTACATCACCCTCTCCAGTCCAAATTCCTTCTCAAGCATCAGCTTCCAACTAGACAGCTCCATTTAAACAGGTCTTCCAACTTAAAATACTCCAAATTAAATAAAACATTTCTCCCTTAAATCTTAGTCTCCTAAGCCACCATCATCCAACAAATTACCTATAGAAAGTCATCCTCAATTCATGTCCTCATTAAAATATCATCAGAGTCCAAACACTGTGCTTCCAATGTATTCTGCCTTCCGTCTCTCAGATTTCTGCCCTTCCCTTTATCTCTTTCCCCTCTGGGTCCGTTCAAGGCTTTGACACTTCCCATCTAGATTTCTATCATAAGCTTCTTCCTTCCCATGTTGTAGGTTCTTCTAGCCTTCCTCCACTGTGCTACCAAAGTGATTTTTTTTTTTTTTTTTTTGAGACAGAGTCTCATTCTGTCACCCAGGCTAGAGTGCAATGGTATGATTTTGGCCCACTGCAACCTCCATCTCCTGGGTTCAAGCAATTCTCCCACCTCAGCCTCCTGCGTAGCTGGGATTACAGGCACACACCACCATGCCCAGCTAATTTTTGTATTTTTGTAGAGATGGGGTTTCACCATGTTGGCCAGGCTGGTCTTGAACTCCTGACCTCAGGTGATCCACCCGCCTCAACCTCCCAAAGTGCTGGGTACATTTGTTGAGTGATTTTTTTACAACATTAAAATATGTCATACGTAAGTTTTAAAACCAAGCCCTTACATGGCATATTCTTCTAAGCTTCAAGGAAAAGCAATCATAATCAGGTGGGGGTGGGGGGGGGGCGGGGAAATTAAATAAAGCAGAAAGGTAACAGTCCTGACAAATAGATTTACAAGTCCAGAATTCTTACCCAATGTCTGCCGGAAAGACATCTTCCAGCCTTTTGCTGTCTGAAATGAATCTGTCTTGAACACCAGGAGCATACTATTATTGCTGCTCTTCACATTTGGTGGGCGCTTGGAACCGCAGAATTTGCCAAGAAGGGGATCGCTGGTATTGGCACCATCGTAAATTGCCAGGTAGTCATGGGAGCAGGAGGTGGAGGGAACCACATCAAAATCACTGAACCTGTGAAATGTACCTTGTTAATACTGATGTTTCCATTTGGACTTCTATTAAATTGTAGCTTTAGCTCTTGCAAAAAAAATGACAAGGAAAAAACTACCAGTAGAGCATTCAAAACTCACTTGATATGAAATATTAGAAATCAAACAGTACTTTACTGATCAGTTCAAAAGTTTAGCCAAATTTGTTTTTAGTAATTACAATACAACAAAAACTGTGACAGCAGCTGGGGATGTCAAAGTGAGTAAGATACAGTCTTACTTTTCAAGGAATTCACAGTCTAGGGCATATTAAAGTCCATCTGAGAACAACTTTTGACAAGTTGAACTGATATTTACTATCCCAGCAATACTTTAGTTTTTTAGGTCTCATTAAAAATACCATATTTACTCTTCCCTTGTTATTTTATGAGATGAAGTAGAACTTATGGGAAGCATGTTAATATAATAGAAGAAATGCTGCTTTTAGAATCACAGCTCCATTCTCCTCACAGTCTCATTTTCCTCTTTTAAAATGAAGTTTATGTTAAGGTCAGGTGAAGAACAGGAAATTTACATTTAAGACCTCTGTGGTGGTCACTGACACTTCTGCACATGGTCCCAGCTCTCTGCCTCCCCAGCACTGGTAGGATTGCCCTAGGGGCACACTTTGAGGCTTGACATGGCTGCTAGGAGTTGCTTTGACCACAGAAATGTAAGCAGAAGGGATACATATTACTTTACGGAAGAAGCTTTACAAATGACTACTTGCTTTGCCACACTGCCTTCCCACTGCAGTGATGATCATGGAAGCAAATGTAAAAACGAAGCTTCCATCAGCCTGGGTTGTTGGATGACCACGATGAGCAGAGCTTCCATGCCAGGCCACACTGAACATGCTCATTACAATGAGAAATCAACTTGTTGAGTTAAGCTGCTGTGAGGTGGAGTTGTTTGTTACTATGTGCATAACCTATCCTGACAGATGCATCCCTAACTTTTCTCTGTCTTATACAGTGTTTAATTCAGGTCTTATTCTTTGTCATTTCAAATAACGATTTCTAGAGTTCCTGAACAAGCAAGGCTTCTTACATGGATTTACTTTAGAGTTTTGTGGTGGGTTTATTATAGCTTATTTTTAAAACTTGTTTAAAAAAATAATATTTGATATCCTGTCCTCATTTTTATAGGTTCTTCTGCTTTTTCTTTTTTTTTTTGAGACAGAGTCTCACTCTGTTGCACAGGCTGGAGTGCAGTGGCACAATCTCAGCTCACTGCAACCTCTGCCTCCCTGGTTCAAGTGATTCTCTTGCCTCACCCTCCCGAGTAGCTGGGATTACAGGTGTCCACCACCATGCCTGGCTATTTTTTTTAATTACATGTATATTTTTTAGTAGAGATGAGGTTTCTGCCATGTTGGCCAGGCTGGTCTTGAACTTCTGACCTCAGGTGACCTGCCTGCCTCAGCCTCCCTGTGCTGGGATTACAGGCATGGGACACCATGCCCAGCCTGCATTTTCAATTTATTTTGGCAGTAGCTCTAATAAACAATCCATAATATGGAATAATTTTGAAAATATAGACTAAATAATATATATTTATATATAAAATATATAATAAATGCTTCCTTTCAACAGCCTTGAGAAAAAAAATTGTTGGTTTTTTTTCTAAAAGGTTTTGGTTGGTTGAAGGTTTTCAGACTGATGAGGAACAAGATGAAAACCGTATTGATTTTCTTTTACCACATTTAACATTTAATGTTATTGTAAAAGATCAGGGAAGAACAATAGCTAGATAATTTCCAACAACACTGTATTCATTTTAATTCTCTACAGACAACACATTTATTTTTCACAAAAAGAATCCACAAAGAGAGATAAAATCTGAGTTTCTAAGAGGACTTAAATCTGCTTTGGCTTTTTATTTTACATCATTTTCCCAGGAGAGCACAGAAGAGATCTGAAAAGCCCATTGACAGAAAAGCTTGTGTAACCACAATCTTTTGAGAGCCTTTTATTAATGTCTGCATCTTCTACCACACCTAGAATCTTATCTGTTTCCTAGAATGTAGGCTCTTAGTGCGCAATAAATAATTTTCTAAACCTGCAGATGTAGGCTGGGTGTGGTGGCTCACACCTGCAATCCCAGCACTTTGGGAGGCCGAGGCAGGTGGACCACTTGAGGTCAGGGATTCAAGACCAGCCTGGCCAACATGGCAAAACTCCATCTCTACTAAATATATATATATATACAAAAGAAAAAATTACCCAGGCTGGTGGCACACACCTGTAGTCCCAGCTACTCAGGAGGCTAAGGTGGGAGAATCGCTTGAACCCAGCAGGTGGAGGTTGCAGTGAGCTGAGATCACGCCACTGCACTCCAGCCTGGGCGACAGAGTGAGAGCTAGTCTCAAATAAATAAATAAGTAAAATAAAATAAACATGCAGATGTAAATTTCATTATGGTGAGCTCCAGGATCCAGGCTGAAAACTGAAAAAATACATTTAGATTGTATACATACATATATATATAGATAGATAGACAGATAAAGAGAGAGAGAATATATAACATACCTCTATGAGTTGGTATGTATACCATGGTTGGAATGTTTGTGTTCCCCTAAATTCATATGTTCCCTAAGCTAATGGTATAGGAAGTGGGGCCTATGGGAGGTGATTAGGTCATGGGGGAGGACCCCTCACAAATGGGATTAGTGTTTTATAAGAGGCCCTTCCAGCTCATGAAGACACAGCAAGAAGGTACCTTCTATAAGCCAGAAAACAGGAGCTCACCAGACAACGAATCTGCCTCGACCTTGGACTTTTGCAGCCTTTTGTTGTTTATAAGCCACCCAGTTTATGATATTTTGTTAAAGCAACCTGAACAGAACAAGGCAATAATCAATCCTACACATATGAGAAACAAATAGTGAGTCACAGTAGCAAATGGCTCCCCCTTACACTTTCACGCCTGTGCAGGCATACTTCACAGAACTCCTGCTCCTGGCCATCTGACAGTTTCTGTTCTTTTGTCCCCAAGACCTAAAAGACACTCTGTTTTCCTACAAATAGTCCAGGTAAGAGCTGCAGTTTTCTTCGAGGTCCAGCCTATAGAACGCCTGATACAGGAACCAAATCAGGCTTGATGAGAGATGTCTTTCATCAAGACATCTCTTGTTCACTTGGAGAGCCAACTGATACATGAGGCCTCTGGAAGTAAACTGCAGGGAGTACAGAATCTTTAGGGTAGAAAATGATCACAGACAAATAGAGGGGAGGTAGGTAGGTAGGTAGGTAGGTAGGTGTGGTCTTAGCCCATCAGGCTTCTGTATGGAAAGTCCTACATGACCATGAACAATATTACTGTCAGAGTTTCCCACCACATGCCATACGTATATCACTGAAATAGGCTGTCAGGTGAAAACAGTCTTGAACTTTATCATTCTGGAGAGTGGGAGGTTGCATTGCCCTCATCAGTCTTGTTGGGAATAGGTAAGACTGGGAAGAAAATTGACCAGTGACTCAAGCTATCTCTCATAGCATCAGTTTAGAGGTGTTCTGACACAGGTATAAAAATAGATTTCTTAAGTAGTTAGAAAATGTATCCTTTGAGGCTGGGTGCGGTGGCTCATGCCTGTAATCCCAGCACCATGGGAGGCCGAGGCGGGAGGATCACTTGAGGTCAGGAGTTCGAGACCAGCATGACCAACATGGTGAAACCCCGTCGCTACCAGAAATACAAAACTGAGCAGGGCATGGTGGCGCCTGCCTGTAATCCCAGCTACTCAGGAGGCTGAGGTAGGAGAATCTCTTGAACCTGGGAGGCAGAGGTTGCAGTGAGCCGAGATTGTGCCACTACACTCCAGCCTGGGTGACAAAGTGAGACCTTCTCTCAAAAAAAAAAAAAAAAGAAAAGAAAAAAGAAAATGTATACTTTGAGAGACAGTATTGGGAAACATTGAGGATGTGGTGTTTGGAGGAAGCCTGGCATGAATACACATTTTGACTCTTTATGTGTGTGTTACTTTTGGAAAGCAATTTGATCCTTCTGAGCCTCAGTTTCCTCATCAGTGAAATGGGAATAATCTATACAATTCCCAATCTAGAATCTATATATACCTCATATGACTGTTTTAAGAATACAATGAGACAATTACGGCACGTGTGAATCAAAGTTCTTTGTGTATAATAAATACCCAACACATGGCAACTGCTTTCTCTTGCCCTTCCTCTCTCCTTTGATTTCAAGATGGGCTTATTATACCTTGACAATCCATGTTATGATGCTCCTTCACAATTGTTGGGAAACTATAACGACTGTTTTAACTGGTGAGTGCTTGTTTTTTGCCCTTAGTTACTACCGGCTTGTGTGGAGAGGGGGAGCGTCATTTCCCAGGTTGAACTGTCATCTAGGAACATCACTCCTCTGTGTAGATTTCCCTCCAGACTGCCGATGAGAATCAGTGCCCTCCATCAATAAACGAATGGCTCTTCTATAAATAATGCTGAAAGGATTTTCTTAAGAAAGCCAATTTGTCTTACGTACTTGAGCTCGATCACCTTGTCGTCACTAACGGTGATGGTATACAGACAGTGCATATCATTTGGGTAGTCTGCGTATGAATAGGCAGGACTTGTGATGATTCCAGAAGAGAAATTGAACACACCACCACAGGCTGCAACAGAAGACAAGGGAATATGAAGAGAACAACGATTAGTCCCAGCATGGAAAAATGATTTTAAGAGATTCTATACTATTGTACATTTTTCCCTAAAAGAGGTAATAATTATTTTTCTTAAAGTGACTTATATCTCCCTTCATTGTGTTTACACATAATTCTGATTTTTCCACTAGGAAGGAAGATGAAAGACAGCAAGAGGGTAGAAACAGGGAAGAATATTTAAAGGCTCATCTTGGAAAGGAATCAGTCTGAGTCAAATTAATGGCCAGAGTGAAAATGACGAGCAGGAACATTTCACCATCACTTAGCTGTATTTCATTGACAGGTTGAGAGAGGGATGACAACAGTAACGAAGTACGGAAAAGGCGGCCAGAATGATGTTCTGGGCGTACAGATCTAGGAAGGTTGTGATCTGGAAATCTGAAATAATAGAGATCCCTGTCTCTCCTGTCAGGGATAGAATATTATATGGTAAACTACTGGAAATCATTTTTGGAGCTTTCCAGTTTAGTTCCTTCTGTGGGCTCAAATGTATAGCTCTCCAGTCTGGTGGATTTGCAGTCAGTTGTGAGACTGGTAAGGACTAAACTTGCCCCAGTTTGTATTAATATCACTGATCCTCAATCCTCAACAAGCAGGAGGAGGCCAGGCCCGTTCCTCTCCAGGATTCCAGCAATTAACAGCTCAGAGCCTTGAGCTAGATCCATTAGTCAATAAAACGACAGACATAAAAATGTAATAAAGCCTTCTTATCCACAATATAAAGTGATTATTTTTGCTTGGGTTTACATATGAGGATCAGATTGTACCTCCTGATGATCACTCTCCCTGCAGTGGAAAGACCTATCTATGTATATTTATGATTCTAAAATTATAATGGGGTTAACGCATTTTGAAGTATTTCCATGGTTTATACACTATCAGTGGACACGTTCCACTTTACATCCTCAGAAATGAGGAACAAATTGAGGCTGCCATGTCAGGCTCTTTATTTCTTTACTGTTTTTGCCTCAACTGAGCCCACCTTGCAGGGAGCACTCTTCTCTATGTGCCTGTAAGTACTTGTGTGTTCAGACCCCCAGGTCCATCTGTAAAAGTGAATTACATGTCAGATAAGGGTAGCAATCACTCCTTTTCACTTTATACACAATTATGTGGTCTCTGGAAGTTTATCAAGGCCTAAATAACTCCCATCTTTGCACAATATCAGCATTTGAAGTCTTCACATCAACGACACTCTTTAAGTGGGACTCTTATACTAGAATATATTGAATCTTGACTACTTCCTTGTAGGAAAATGAGAGATTAAAGAGAAGAAGAATATAAAGCAGGAGTTTACCTCTCCAAAGCAGCAGTTGTGCCAAAAGAATAAAACAAATCCATCCTTCTCTTTATTCAACAAGACGACGGGAGAGGAAACGTTAATTGCGTGGTTCTATTCTGCTAGAGCCAACAGAGCTACACAGCCATATGTAGTCATACTTTACAAACTGTGGGAGTCAGGATGCCGATAGCAGCTAATGTGAACAAATTATGGAGGGCCTTTTCAGAAGTAAATACATGTTTTTAGTCTTCTCTGGAGATGGGAACAATAATTTATTCCAAGGGAAACTATTTAACTTTCTACCTTTAGCAATGGGTTTGGTGGAGCAAAGATGAAATAGACTCAAGAAAGATGTTACAAGATTTGTGTGCCAGTTTGACTGCAGCTGAGATGTCTATTAGATAGTGCATAAATATTGTCAGCAAACTAACCAGGCAGGAGGGGAAAAGACTATTCAAGATCAGGAAATGCAATCTTAGAATTTTCTGGGTAGCAACAAATGCCTCTGTCCAGTCTATTGCTCCTCTTTTCTCTTTGCCTTTGATGCAGAGAAGTTGTAAATTATAGCATAGTTGAATATATCAATCTTTTCCATTAGGGCTTTTGTTTTGGGCATAGTGTTTTAAAAAAGTCTTTCCTATCAGACTGTAAAGACATTCTCTTATATTTCTTCTAAATATATAAAATATTAATTTTTGTATTAGCAAAATGACTTGGGGAAACAAAACAGGCATCTGGATAATTTGGACCAACAGGCAACTTTGTGTAAGGTAAGAAAAACAAAAAAATAGCAGTAGTATTTATTTAAATTAAATTACAAAACAAATGTCAATTCTTCATTTGATTTTCAGAGTAGTTCTAGCCAAAGTTCCTGAAAAAGGTCCTCTTCTTTTTAAGAAAAAATGTGTATATGTATTTTTTAACCATGAACCTCACTGACAATCTTTTTCCCTTAAATTCTCTGAATCTTCAAGTTAGTGCTGTATGAATCGCAGTGAAAACTCTTTGTATACATTACTCAGAAAAGAAGAAAATTCCAAACTCTGTCATTATGGCTACTCACAGATTATCCTATAGGAAAACTTGAATCCGAAGTCTGTGATTTGCTCGTTGGAGTAGAAGTTAAGCAGAACCGGCCCAGCGATGGTGAGGGGAGCTGGCATCTCATCCCCACACACAGTAGCAAATGGGGTGGACATGACGCTGTAACCTCTGATAATGTGCACGCCATCGTTGACACAGCTTCCCGTCACAGCGGAACGAGCTGGAAAAGGCATGGAACAACCGCATTATGATCAGAACCTACACAAACAATTAAGGCCATAAAAATAAAAACAAAAATGTGATGATGACTCATGCAATTGCTATAAAAATTAAAATGAGAAACGAGATATTTAACTTAGTTTCCTGTTGAAACAATGTTTACTCTAACTACAAAACAAGCACAGGTATGATAAAACAGGTAGGACTTCACAGTAGACACTTTCCACCTTGAAACAATTCAGAATTTCCTTTCTTTAGATAACGGTTCCTTTAACTCAGTGACTGTAAACTGGGGACCGTGTTGCCTCCCCAAGAACACCTGGCACTATCTGAAGGCATTTTTGCTGTCACACTGTAGAGTGGAGTAGAGACCAGGGTTGCTCCTGAAGATGCTGCTATACACAGGGCAGCACCTACACCCCGGACCCTCTGGGACCCACAAAAAACTACCTAGCCCAACATGTCAATAGCGCTGCTACTGAGAAAACTTGCTCCAAGCTTATGTCCAGATAAGGGACTCCTATCATGGAGATATCATTAGAAACTCCTTAATGTTTATTGAACAACCATTTTAGATGTTCACACAAACACTATTAGTGTTTAAGGACTATAAAATATATATTATTGTTTTGTTTGCCAATTATAATGTGAATATATGCTCCAGCCTACCATCCCCCAAAGAAAAATATAAAACAAAATAAACAAGAAATTAAAAAGATATGTGTCCACTACAACATATCCAGTGATTTTTGTAGGTGAACACATACTGTTAAAATATTAACTTGGATCATACCTAATTTGTATTAATAGGAAATGACACCCATATGGTAACCTAATTTGTATCAATATGAAATTACATCCATCATGCATTTGTATGTGATTAAATATTCTTCTAAAACATTATATTAGGGCCAGACATGGTGGCTCACGCCTATAATCCCAGCACTTTGGGAGGCCTAGGCGGGCGGATCACCTGAGTTCAGGAATTCGAGGCCAGCCTGGGCAACACGGCAAAACCCTGTCTCTACTAAAAATACAAAAATTAGTCAGGTGTGGTGGTGCGCGCCTGTAGTCCCAGCTACTCAGGAGGCTGAGGCAAGAGAATCGCTTGAACCTGGAAGGCAGAAGTTACAGTGAGCTGAGATCGCGCCACTTCACTCCAGCCTGGGTGATAGCACAAGACTCCATCTCAAATAAAATAAAACATTATATTATTATGAAAGGAAAGGAAAAAAACCAGCCTAACTTTTGCACCAACATAATATATTAATGCCTATATCAAATTCCAACATATAGATGTGCCATCCACATTCCATCAATCCCCTATTGCTTGAAATTCTATATTCTCCACATTTCTGTAAATAAAAATATTGTTGAAACAAACATTCCTGTACATAAATATTTGAGGAAGTTTTTCATCATTTCATCAGAATAAGTTTTCAGAAGTTAGATACTGGCACTAAGGTAAGACTATTTTTCAGGTTACCAAATGATCCCTAGATTGGTGTTGCCGACTTACTCTCCCACAACATTTTTGGCATCTGACATTCTTCCCAATTCTACATTTTCATTGCCCATAGGAAAATGTTATGCCCATTAACAATCACTCCAGTCTCATCCTTCCTGTATATGGTCTCCTGCCCTACATAATTACTAAACTACTTTCCGCCTCTATGGATTTGTCTACTCCGGACATTTCACATGAATAAAATCATGCAATATGTGACCTTTTGTGGCTGGCTTCTTTCACTTAATATAATGTTTTTGAGTCCATCCATGTAGTAGCATGTGTCAGTATGTCATTCCTCTTTATGGCTGAATATTTTCCTTTTTATAGTGATAGCACATGTTGTTTATCTATTCATCAGTTGACAGACATTTGGTTTGTTTCCACCTTTTGGCTATTATGGATAATGCTGCTATGAACATTCATGCATGAGATTTTGTGTGGGCACATGCTTTCAGTTCCTTTGGGTATATAAATGGGAGTGAAATTATTAGCCCCCAAATTAGGTATGTATTTAATTTTACAAGAAACTGCCAAACTATATCTCATAGTAGTTACATCAGTATACATTCTCACCAGGGATGTGTGGGACTTCCAGTGCTCTGCAGGGATGCCAACATTTGACATTGTCAGTCTTTTTAATTTTAGCCATTCTGGTGCATGCGAAACGAAACTTCATTGTGATATTTAATTTTAATTGCTCTGATGATTAACAATGTGAAATATTTTCCCATTTTCATTTACAAGCCACAAGAACAAAATGCTTTTATTTCATGGCGATGCTAACTTGAACATATATCTAATGATCCACATCACCCCAACACACAAAATTTACTTACTTACAAATGCCCCATTGGGAATGACCCAAACTACATTATTTTATATAAGCACATGCTATGGCACGGTGGACTCTGAAATCAGACATCCTGTTTGCTGTTTGCTGTTAGAATACTCTTCCTACAAGAGCACGCTGACAAAATCGTTATGCACACTTACTTTATAATTCCAAGTCCCCTGGCCATAGACCTTGGTTCAAAGGTGGGTGTGTGACCCAATCCAGTCCAATAAAGGTGAATTTCAACACCCTTGTTTGATATTTGGAAGTTGGAATAGAGGTAGTAGTATGCTGGTAAATATAACAACCAACTCTCCGAGAGATTTGTGGCATTTGCCAATTTCCATCGTATAAATACTCCCACGATAGCCAATTTCAAGCTATTAACAACAAGTCATTAAATGCAGAATAGGAATAGATGAGCAAAATTGACTCTTGCAAGATGGTGCAACCCAACTCTAGCTTACCACAGGATAGAAGCCATCTCTCTTTCTGATGTGGGTGAGGAGTACCCACTGTGAGAGCAGCACCCCTACAGCAATGAGAGGAGCCAGCCTTAGGATGAGGCTCACACTGGAGTAGCACAAAGTAAAAACAGAAACAGTTGAATATTTGATGACATAATTAAAATGCTGAATTGAGAGATTTGAGGCACACCCAACTTTGAAACCTTCCAGAATTAAAAACCAATGAATTGCTCCTTTGTGTTTAAACCAGGTTGAATCAAGTTTCCTGTTAATTGTGCCATAAAACCTCCTAATGGATATGGTAGATATTTTCATGATTAGAGTCACTGTTGCTATTGTTTATACAACCCCACCATCCTGACCATGGTTGATTGATTGACTGATTGATAATTCCAGTCAATCAATGGCAAGGCATGGCATCAGACCCAATCCAGGCCAATCAGATGTGTCCAAACTGCAACTGAGTAAGAGTCAATGGTAGGAGCCAAAGATACTAAACTTAAAAAATGTCTGCAGCCATGTTTCCTGACACATTAAGGAAGCCAGGCTGCCGTAAGGGAAAAAGAAGTTGTGCAGCAATCAGCAAAAAGAGCGGGGAAGAGAGAGCATGCTGACAGATTCTTGTCCCTGGTTTCCTTTGTTCTAGAAGCCCTTCCTTTGATGAGATGAAATCACCCAGTATCCTTCTTATAAACCCTACTTTGTATCTAAGCTAACTTTTGAAGATAACTTGCCATTCAAAGAATCTTGACAAATACTTTTAAAAAGCATCTCTGTGCATTAAAGAGTTACCACACATTCTTAAATCATTTTAAGAATACATTCAGCTCCTTCGCTAAGTTTCTATTCAGCCTGCAGAAATCTTGAGGTATCAATTCAAGATATACATTTTTAAATTAACCTCAAAGAATTCCCTTATTTTGAAAATGCTGGAATAGAAATATTTCTAATTGGGCATAAATCTATAAGTTGAAAGAGTGAAAGACTGAACTTCAATGGCCTTTTCATGTAATTAGAAGCAATATGATGTGGAAAAAGAGGACAAAAAAGAAATAAGTTAAACTCAGATTCATGGTTTGAATATTGCCAAATTATGTACCTTAGTTATAACCTCAGTATTTGTCTTTAAGACATCAAAAGCTCCACTGGAATTTTAAAAAATTCAAAGTAGATGAGTTTGAGAATAAAAAAATTGTGCATTAGTTATAGAAATTATTTAGCAACAATATATCAAGTTATAAAACCAAAATCACAGAATGTAGGGAAAAATTGCTGATGCTGGATTGAAATCTTGGTCCCACATTTGATCAAATAGGCTGCTATGCATGTGTTAGGTATTAAAGAGTTAGTTGTTAAGTTGTGGGCTAATGATATAAATGATCACAGTGGCAGTTGTCTTAGAAAACAGTGAAAAGGCTGTGAAACATAAGGTATAGTGTCACTTATACTTGATTATGTTGACAAATAGTTGATTAAAGGAACTAGTTGAAATACAGAAAGTTCATTCATGAAATGGCAGTGGTACGAGACATAATCAAAACTCATCAACAATTTATTAAATGTCTGTATTGAACAATAAGGAAGTTTGTTGGGGAAATGCAGAGGAAGTTGACAAGGGATTTTAGATTTTTTGTAGATGGCAATAGAATATCAACTAACTAAACAAATTATGTAAGACAGTCTGCTTCTCAAAGCCTAATTCAGTAAAATGTAGAAATTATAATATCTGGCAACTTATTTCATGGATTAAAACATTCTTGTATCCTTTCTAGTAGTCGTTTGTTTAAGGTAGGATGTTATGCCCTTTCAAATTCTCTCCAAAAGAAATCAAACATGTACATAATATTAGAAGCTGGTAAAATTAGCTAAAGTCTAAGAAAATATAAAAAATTAACATCAACAAAGTAATATGCAAGAAAATGGATATGTGTGTCACTAGACATTAAGTACTTTACACACATATATCATATTCTAAAGTTCTATATATCCCATCACTGCATTAGATCAAAAATATCAGCCTGATTCTTCAGTGAGAAGGTGTTGGTGACAGACTAAAGGCATCAGAAAATAATTATATTAAACACTTTCTCATCATTATTGGAAGAGCCAATTGTATGTATAATCAAAATATACACAACACTCTCATAATTGGGGTGACTGTCTTCTAGGGAGAGAAGGAAACTTAGTTGAGGTTTGGAAAAACTTCTTCAAGAAGCAAGATGGATATCACAGTTGAGTTTATGACCAAGAGGCAGCATTCGATCAGACATATGCGAACTTGTGAGGAAGAGAAGCACCCTGAAATTGAACAATACTTTCTCCGTGGACTAGAGTCCACGTCATGGGACCGGGAACTCAGTAATTCTTAACTCTGTCTTCAACAAGTGATTTGATAGACATTTACTACTGAAATCTCTGAGCTGCAAAACGATTCCCTATCATTTGTTTTTATGACTATTTTCCATCCTTCCTAAAAACTTTAAAACATATTCATCGTTTGCAATGGGCAAGGCTCTATACCATGCAGTAAAATTTAATTTTTTGTTCTATTTTTCCGGGATTTATTACTGGGCAATGTCTAATTCCAAACTTCATCATAGTTCTAAGAACTATGAGAGAACTGAAGGAAAACTAAGGATGAGTAATTCCACAAATAGAATAAACTTGTGGGATTTAGAGTTGGACCACAGTTTTTCTCCAAAGTGGGGGGAGGGCGTGGGCCGAGACACCAAAGAGGACTAGAGATGAGGGAAAACCCTTTGTTTGGGATATTTCCATGTTGTAGATAAGATCAAGTATTTTCAGGAAATAGAAATGGGTTCTAGGGGCCAGGCACAGTGGCTCACACCTGTAATCCCAACACTTTGGGAGGCCGAGGCAGGCAGATCACTTGAGGTCAGGAGTTTGAGACCAGCCCGGCCAACAAGGTGAAACCCCACCTCTACTAAAAATACAATTATTAGCTGGGCATGGTGTCTGGTGCCTGTAATCCCAGCTACTCGGGAGGCTGAGCCATGAGAATTGCTTGAACCTGGGAAGCGGAGGTTGCAGTGAGCTGAGATCGCACCACTGTAGTCCAGCCTGGGCAACAGAGCAAGACTCTGTGAAGAAAAGAAAAGAAAAGAAAGGAAGGAAGGAAAAAGAAGGAAGGAAGGAAAGGAAAGGAAAGGAAGAAAGAAAGAAAAAGAAAGGAAGGAAGGAAGAAAGAAATGGGTTCTAGGCAGAGGCACATGAATTACCAGGCAGCAGTGACTGAGACCTATCATCTGTCTTGTTAACTTTACCCTGAGTAGCTGGGAGACTGGTCTCCTCTACGGAGGCATGATTCAGAGGAGGGGGAAGCATGTACTAGTATACAGCTAAGTTCCATTGCGCACGAAGGCCAAACAAATTAAAGCAAATTGGAGTGTAACACAGGCAAACAAGGGATTTCACAGAAACTACACCATCTGCTCCAGTGCTCTGCCAGTTGAATAAAATATCAATAGGAAACATTTCAAAAGGACCACTGCCCACTTTTTTCTAAAGTAATGTGGAATGCGACCACATTCTGAGTTCTTTAGAAACAACTGAGAAAGCAAAGAGAAGAAACAGCAGTTGAGCAATACCAGTTTTTAAAAAATTTAAATAGGAGGAAATAAAGAAAACTGACAAAGCTCATTTATTGTGCTTCTTGATGGGGAAAAAAATGTCAAAAAGAAAAATCTAAAACTAATTTTTTTTTACTTTTTTTCTTTAAGCTTTCTATTAGATATAACCCATAAACTGGGACTTCAGTTAATCCAAGAGAATTTAGGCAAATATTAGGTGTGAATCTGGGCCCACTCCTGTTGGGGCTTTGAAGCCATCTCTAGAGGACAACAAGCAAAGGCATTTGTCCCTTTGGTGTTTCCACCTCACGAGCTAAGCGCTGCTGCACCCTCCAATGCTTGTCAAGAATTACTGGATCTGAGAAACACTGAGTTTACAGTTTACGGCGTGTAGAATTTTTAAATTGAGAATTTCTAAATTCCTCATTATCACCAAGGTGAATTAATGTTACTACCCAATTTTTTTCATTTTTTAAATTTTATTTATGTATTTATTTATTTTGAGACAGAGTCTTGCTCTGTTGTCCAGGCTGGAGGGCAGTAGCGCAATCTTGGCTCACTGCAAGCTCCGCCTCCCGGGTTCACGCCATTCTCCTGCTTCAGCTTCCCGAGTAGCTGGGACTACAGGGGCCCGCCACCACGCCCGGCTAATTTTTTGCATTTTGTTTAGTAGAGACAAGGTTTCACCGTGTTAGCCAGGATGTTCTCGACCCCCTGACCTCATGATCCGCCCACCTCGGCCTCCCAAAGTGGGGGAATTACAGGCGTGAGCCACCATGCCCGGCCTACTATCTAATTTTAATGAAAGAATAATCAAGGTTTAGAAGGCACTGGCTTGCTTCATTTTGCCTCAAGAAGTGCTTTATCTATGAAGTAAGAAAACTGGATCTATAATTTTTTTTTTTTTTAGCAGATTGAGGGCTTCTAGTTGGCCACATGAATAATGAGAACACAAAATTTTGGACTGTTTAATATTTGGGAAAATAAAATAAGCAGTTATTTAATAATACCAGATTCCAAAATGAGGACAAACATCAATGGTCTGTAGTTCATGGAATGTCTAGTACTGGAAATGTAAAAGTAATGAGAAAGTTAGAGAAATTTAGACCAACATTAAACTTGGAGCAACTTACTTTGTGGTAAGCGGAAAGTAGGTCACTGAGCCTTTGTAACCTAAGAGTTGAGTGTGGTTCAACAATCTGTATTTTTCCCTTCATGGTAAAACCCTCCCTAAGCAGGTGTCAATGTTTAGTAGACGCCATATAGGGACAAGTGTGTTTCCTCACAGTATTTTGTAGCCTGGGATACCACATCTTTTCCTTGCCAATCCCACCTTTTGTGCTAATGGTCCACCAAGATGACAGATCTAGAACCTTCATCACCACCTAAGTCAACACTGGCTCTGCTGGGATCCTGGGCTCAGAAATGCTTAGCCATTTGAACAGAGTCTCTCAGAAACAGTTCCAAGTGCCTATAGCAGCTAGAAAGGCCAAGGCTCCCTCAATAAAGCTATGACCTTCCTTCAGAGCAATCCTCGGTTTCATCCCAATATATTGCACATGAATCCCTCAGGCTCACTTTAGAAGGGCTGGGGAAAGGTTACTTTTACTGTAGCTAGCGAATCTGTAGCTCGGTGATGGTATTCAATAAATGTCAGCATTGATATGGTTAAGGATAAGAAGCTAATTATAAAATAAATTTGATTAAAGTCACCCTTTTGGGGAATCATCATAATTAGATGAATCTATAGCCAGAAATTACTCAGGCAGCAGTTTGAAAATGCTGAACACTTAAACACTGGAAATGTCACAAGGCATTGTTGTAAGGATACCATCTTAGAAAAGAATCAGTCTTCAACTGAGTGAGGATTGGCAAATCCATTAGCGGAAGCAGAAATCAATCTAACATTATCTGACTTTCAGAACTACTATTATACATATATAATAAATATATATTAGACACACACATACACACATATATAGCAAAGTGCTATATATATATAAGTATCAGAAATAAAGGTGAAGTAATTTGCACAAAGTCACTTGAATAGCAGTAAGTGGCTGACCTGGCATTAAGATCCATCCTAAATGCTGTGCTCACTTTCCCTGTACTATACTGAGATATTCCAGGGCTGCTCCCCTTTTTCTCACCTGATAACTGAGCTCAGGGAGCTGTCTCAGGTCATGATAGAGTCTCTTATAATAATACATATACCACTGGTATCAGCATTGCTTTCTGTGGCTTTATAGTACAATTACTAGAGTCTCCTTTCTTAGTCTGAGTGATACGGTCTTGTGAGATGCACTGTTTATTTAACTTAATGACCACAAACACAAAATCCAAGCCACATGTTGTTCCCCTGCTATTAAAATAATTGTCCTAATTATAAAAATAACATAAAAGCTATAAAGAAGAAAATAAGCATCTCGAATAAATCTATCACACAGTGGTGACAACTCTTAATGTACTGGTTAATAGCCTTATAGATTTTATTCACACACATTATTTTAGAAAGAAAATTGGATCATCTTATACAAACTATTTTACCCTCCCTCAAGCCTTCATATATCATGGGCATCTTTTTATGGTACTGGGATTTTGGGCTAGCAAATGCTGAAAAGATGACACTTTACTTTATATTCCATTTTTACAGTGACATACATTGATTTACACTTGGCATTTTTTTAAGCAAACACATGTGCTGAAAATTACAACTGCAGAGATGTATGAAAAGGCAGTGAGGTCATAGGAAAAAGGATTAAGTGAGACAAGCTTTGTTAAATTTATCCATTTATGAGTTCTGACATGTCATTTTTATAAACCATACATTTCCCAGATGTTGAATGCTATAGAACATTTTGCAAAGTGTAACTTTTCACTGCCATGAGAGACTAACCCAAGAGTAAGAAATTTCGAATATACCGAGGTAGCTTGACAAATCTGCAGATAAATTGTGGTTTAGAAATAGAAAGCTGATATGTAACAAGAAAATTAATATGGTTATGAGTGGTTGAAAATACCCATCTATTTGAAGGAATTTCCTTTCCACTGTGTGAAAGCCTCCATTAAACACCAAGTGGTGTCTATTGTCAGTCAAAGCCCAGCCCAAATCGGCATCTCTACTGTTCCCTCTGCCAACGGCCCATTCCCTAGAGTGGGAGAATGAACACAGAGGGCACTTGTGGCCAGGAACTCAGGCACTGAAGAGTCAGGACTGAGAAGATGAAGATGACCGAGATGGAGCAGAAGAAAGAACGCCCAATGGTAGTATTTACTAAAAGCAGGGCACATATATTAATTTTTTCTTTTTGAGACAGAGTTTCGCTCTTGTCGCCCAGGCTGGAGTGCAATGGCATGATCTAGGCTCACCGCAACTTCCGCCTCCTGGGTTCAAGCGATTCTCCTGCCTCAGCCTCCCGAGTAGCTGGGATTACAGGCATGTGCCACCACACCTGGCTAATTTTGTATTTTTAACAGGGACAGGGTTTCTCCATGTTGGTCAGGCTGGTCTCGAACTCCCGACCTCAGGTGATCTGCCCACCTTGGCCTCCCAAAGTGCTGGGATTATAGGCGTGAGCCACCGTGCCCAGCCTATATTAATTTTATTAATTTACTTACTTATTCAATATTTGTCGAACACCTATGTTGACTCAATAAGACAGTTTCTCTCACTGGTTTGGTTAATAGTGTGTGCATGAATGTGGGTGTGTGTGTGCACACGTATGTCTATAAACTTTAAATGCAAGTGAATAAATTAAAAGCTATGTTAACATGAAACATTTCAGACTTATTTTCTTTAAGCAATTTATGCAATACTTGTGTTGTTAAAGTTCTGTCACTATTTTTTTACTTCTAGATGGAATACATAGAATAATACTTGTATTCTTTAAAAATTGGATGAAATTTTAATCACGTTTACATTAAATCTACTCTGTAACATATTTTCAATATTTTCTTTAAATGGTGAGTTTTAGACTTCTGCCTCTACTTACTCCTCATTCATTTCTGAAGAACCAATTAGAGTTTACTTAAGAATGAACTTATCTTCCAAGGCTATTATCAAAAGACAAGAGATAAGTTTTGGCAAGGATGTGGAGAAAAGGGAACTCTTCCTCGTACACTTTTGATGGGAATGTAAATTAGTGCAGCCATTATGGAAAAATGCATGGCAGTTTCCCAAAACATTAAAAATAGAACTACCATATGATCCACCAAGTTCATTTCTGGGCATAGATCCAAAGGAAATCAAATCAGCGTGTCCAAGAGATTATCTATACTGTCGTGTTCATTGCAGCATGATTCATAATGGCCAAGACATGGAATGGACCTGAGTGTCCACCAGTGAATGAATGGATAAAGAAAATGTGGTAGATATACACAATGGAATACTCTTTGGCCTTAAAAAAGAATAAAATCTTGTCATTTGTGACAACATGGATGAACCTGGAGGACATTATGCTAAGTGAAATAAGCTACACACAGAAAGGCAAACATTGCATGATCTCACTTGGATGTGGAATCTAAAAATGTCGAACTCATAGAAGCAGAGAGTAGAATGGTGGTTACCAGAGGCTGGTAGGGTATGTGGGAGTGGAGATTTAGGATATATTGGTCACAGGATACAAAATTTCAGCTAGGAGGAATAAGTTCAGGAGATCTACTGTACAACATGGTGCCAATAGCGAATAACAAGGTTGAATACCTGAAATACTTGATTACTTGCCGAATACTTAAAAATTGCTAAGAGAGGTTTTAAATGCTCTCCCCACAAAAAGTGCTAAGTAAGTGAGTGAGCAGACATGTTAATTAACTGGATTTAGCCACTCTACAACATGTACATATGTCAAAACATGTTGTACACCATAAATATACAATTTTTGTTTGTCAATTAAACGTAATTTTTTTAAAAGAATAAACTTACCTTCTAAGTGGAAGGACACAAAAGTCAAGAGGACCACTGACAGAGGATTAGCCTCTATGACATAGGTGCAATTCATGTTGTTGTCATATTGTTTTGGGTAATTTGGAGAAATGATGTAACCTGAAGGGCCAGTGAAATTACTTCCACATCCTATGTGGGAACAAAAAGTCATCATCAGATCATTTATTTCTCGTGTATCTATTTTGTCCATGAAGGAAAGAGGCATTTTCCTAAATTATCTATAGACATAGTTCCCTGAGATATTCCAAATGGAAGAAGCAAGAATGAAGAGAATAAAGCTCTGATTTAAAAACATACATATGTGCTTAATAAGAATATTATACATTTTTAGAAAATGCTGCAGAGTTTTATGGACTGAGTCCTCGTAATATTACCACAAATCTACTGCAAATCCCTTAATATTAAGATATTAAGAAAGGATAAACGAGCAATGATAGAATATGGTTCATGCAGATAAAGAAATAAAACAGATAAAAAATGATTTGTATCTGATTAGTACTTTACACAATTAATGTTTTTAAAATGTCTTATTATTAGAAAACTGCTATTTTCATTACCATTGTAATCTAGCCACAACAATGGTTGCTTTTTAAAACTAGCTGGATTTATTAATCCCAACTCTTATCAAATTCTTACATGCATCCCTGGTTTTCGAAACAGAAAGAAATATCTTTTCACCACTAAAATGATTTGTTTTCATATAACCATTGACTAGTTAATCCACTTCACTCTCTGATCTATCAAGCACGAAAATATCTCTATCCTTTTAAATTGACATTAAAACACACACAAGTACACACGTGCACACTTACACAGTGAACCACCTGCAGACCTAAGATTTGGTCTAGGGTTGTCTTTCAGTACTTCCTTTCCAGCACTCTCTGATTCAGTCTGAAAAACCTGTCTACTGTATTACTTCCTCTAATTCCTTTCCTCAAACTTTTCCCTAAACAGTGGTTTGCCATGAGTGGCTACACTTGATTTAACTCAGCCAACAGGCACACACCATTGCTTCTCTGACTTGAAAAATGCTACATTTCCCACGAATCTAATAGTGTACAATAGCTAGAAAAGGAGATCCATCCTTCCTAATCAAAATTAGGAAAGAACATTCCCAAAGAAACTGGCTCCCAAAGTTGACTTAGCATGAGAACCCTCTGGATGACAGTTAAAACATGCAAGACCGGCCGGGCACGGTGGCTTATGCCAGCACTTTGGGAGGCCGAGGCGGGCGGTTCACGAGGTCAAGAGATCAAGATCATCCTGGCCAACATGGTGAAACCCCGTCTCTACTAAAAATACAAAAAAAAAAAAATTAGCTGGGCATGGTGGCACACACCTGTAGTCCCAGCTACTCGGCAGGCTAAGGCAGGAGAATAGCTTGAACCCAGGAGGTGGAGGTTGCAGGAGAATGGCGTGAACCCAGGACGTGGAGGGTGCAGTGAGCCGAGATTGCACCACTGCACTCCAGCCTGGCGACAGAGTGAGACGCCGTGTCAAAAAAAAAAAAAAAAAACAGGAAAGACTTCGTCATGGAAATTCTGAATTCAGTTGGGCCTGGAGTGAGGCTCAGGAATCTGCATGTGTTTCAAGCCCCCCACGGGATTTTGTGGTCAAGGTGCCACAGGCCAGCCACACTGGTTGTTGCTAACGAACTAGCCATCTGCGCTTCTGCCCAATATCAGCCCACTCTGGATGCCAGGCTTATTTCTAGACGTTGGTTAGTGCCCCTCATGGCTTTTATATCACTTCTCAATTCAGTTCTGTTCTCACTGCTATTTGGAAGAAAGGTGTCTTCTTGGGATTAGGTGACTCATCCTCCCCGTAGACCCCCATACTCCTCCCCTAGACCCCCAGGTTTAGCCAACCCTGCCTGCCTGTGACAACCACACTCCCGCAAAGACCTCTGGGTTTGGTTCTTAGGGCTACTTACGGCTAACAAAGGACGCGGAGAAGCCCTGAGCTGGTGCCTCCTGAGACTGGAAGACGGCAGTGAATGTGTTACTTGGTGTGATAACGGGACCCGGAGCCACGTTCCCACAGCCAGTGGCTAGCAGGGCTTTGTCCACCTCCTCAGTTCCTGCCCACACCTAGCACGGACATACACAGAACTTTAATGCTCAAGGGTTTCCCATCAATATTTTAATGCACTTAGGTTTCAAAATAATGGCACTCACACGTATACAGAACTAAGCATAAGAGTAAACAAAACATGGACAAATCTGTAGTATTTTCTTTTGAGAATAATTTTTTTAAAGCTGTTTTTAAAATAGCATGTCCCATTCTTGACTTCTCTAAGGAGATGGTGTTCCTTTTTGCATAGCTGGGTGGTGATTTTTTAAAAATCCACCTTCCTGGATCACTGTTCGGTTTCCTCATAACTTCTAGTTGCCCTGACCTAGCCGAGCTTCCCGGGTGCTGAGGGAGACGGAGCAGCCAGGTGGAACTCAGCCCTGCTCCTGGGAAGATAGCAGATTGTGGTCACAGCTGGACAACACCAGCAAGCAAGAGGCACATCGTGGTGCATGAAGAAAGTGGGCATGAATTCCAAGTATACGTATAATCAGCATGAAATGGAATAAATCAGAACACTTCTTGGCTGTGTGGAATTGTAGGGTCCATTTTGATGAAAAGCTGACATCCAGTCAGTGTGTGCTATTCACCAAAAATTTGGTTGGCAACTCCCAAGTAGACCTGGGCTGTCACTTAATTGGTCTGGCCACCTCGAATGACTGAATTTATATACTCATGCAAAAAACAGTTGCTAGGAAATAAACGGTGAGCACCAAAATTCCAAATCAAACCAATTCTTATCAGTCCAGGGAAAAACAGAGACATGAATCACAGAATCATAAATTTACATGCAAAATTCCAGCTATAAACAAGGCATTATGATGGGGCTGTTGAGAATATATAATTGGTGGCTTTACCTAACTGGGGGAAGTGAGCCTGCCCCGAGCGAACCCCGATGGCAGGAAAGGCCGTGGCTAGTTCAGAGAAGAGAGAGAAAACCAAGGAGGAAGGGGTGAGGAAGCCTGCAGAGGGGGCTGCAGGACACGTTAGAGACTCGGGCCACTGTCCTGAATACAGCAAGGAGCCACCAAGAAGATTGGTTTTTGGAAAACATTACAATTCGGAAAATAGGAGTCAGAAAGGATGCCGGAAAACAGTCAGGTAGGTTTTGCCCTAGTTCAGGTGAGAGATCATGGTTATCTACAATGCTGAGTCACTCAAGGAAAGTATGCATATTAGGTAATGAATATACAAAACTTGGGGGAAAAAAACCCCAAAAACATTAAACATATTAACCAGAGAAGCTCGTCCTAGTTCAGAGGTCTCAACTAGGAGCAATTTTGGGACCTCTGGCAAGGTTTGTAGTCATTTTTCTATTGTCACACTCGGTGTGATGGGTAGTATCTAGTGGGTAGGGGCCAGGACTATTGCTACACAATCTGCAATACCCAATATGCCCTTTCTATCAACAGACAACTATCTCAAACAAGGATGTAGTTGGATGTGTATTAATCTTACTTGACTATTCAACATTTTCTTCACATGGAATGATACCAAATTACTCATTCCAAACACATCTCTTCTCAAGGATATTCCTCACCCACAGCAATAAAACATCAAGTCATTAAAAACATTTCTATTGGGAAATCAGTCCATAGCAAGAGATGTGAAATAGCACTGATTCATAGCATTGGTTTAATAATTCTCAGCTCTTTAAAGCCGTATTGTTTCAATTGATTTTTAAGCACTGGGTATCCAGCTGTTAGTCATCCTACTGAAGACAAATTATATTAGCCATTTATTAGATAAGGGAGGTGCCTGGCGCTGGACCTACTGAGAACAAAAGTGCAGATATTCTGCCAAATGCCTAAGATCAATAAAAATGTCAGGAAAAAAAATGCACCTACTCAATTTTACTTAATGATCTCTAATTAGATTTCCCCCTAATAATATATCCAAGGAAACAGTATATGGCAGTTTTTTATCCACATTTCATAAAATTATAAACACAATTTATCAATAGATAATCTGTATATATATTTTATATATATATGTATTTTTTTGAGACAGTCTCACTCTCACTCAGGCTGGAGCGCAGTGGCACAATCACAGCTCACCGCAGCCTCGACCTTCTGGACTCAGGTGATCTTCCCACCTCAGCCTCCCAAGTAGCTGGGACTACAGGTGCGTGCAACCATGCCTGGCTAGTTTTTTGTATTTTTTTGCAGAGATGGGGTTTTCCCGTGTTGCCCAGCCTGGTCTCAAACTCCTGGACTCAACTGATCTGCCTGTCTTGGCCTCCAAAAGTGCTGGGATTACAGGCATAAGCCACCATGCCTGGGCCATATACTATATTTTTACAAACATTACTAAACAGGCAAAGTAAGAAGGGCTAAAACTTAATAAAGAGCCTCAAGTTCTTTAATGAAGGAATCCAAGAATGCTTAAGTGCTTATACTTTTCTGAAGTCATTAATTATAGATTCGACAACTCTACCTTTTGGCCTGGGAACATAAGTTTAATAATAATGATGATAATGGTGATGACAATGGTAAAGAGTTATTCAATATTCATTTCTGCCTTGCCTATCAAGAACTCATTTCATTGGCTATATGACAGAGGACTCATCAAAACTATATTGAACCTACAAAATGTTACTTAACTGTCATCAGGTCAAAAACTTTCTGATTTTTCTTAGTGTTCTATATAATTCAGTCAGGTTGTAGGTTATATTTTATCATTCAACTATTTTTTAAACAAATGTTTACAGACATAATTGCAGATTCACATACATTTGTAAGATATAATATGGAGAAATTCCTTGTACACATTTCTGAGTTCCTCCAATACTGACATCTTGCAAAACTGTAGTATACTATCACAACCAGGTTACTGGCATTGACATAACACCAATTTTACTCAGTTTCCTAGTTTTACTTGAACTCGTGTGTGTGTGTGTGTGTGTGTGTGTGTATTAAGTTATATACAAGTTGTACACAATTGCATTCAAGATACTGAAATTCCAATACCACAGGAATCCCTAAGTTGCTTTTGTTGTTTATAACCACACACAATTTACTCCTACATTGCCTTCTCTCTAACCTCTGGCTCTCTGCTTTCCATTTCTAAAACACTATCATTTCAAAATATTATATAAATGGAACAGCAGAGTATGTAATCTTTGGAGGCTGCCTTTTTTCACTTGGCATAATCCCTCAGTGATTTGTCCAGATTGTTAATCTATAAATAGTTTGTTTTTATTCAGGAGTTACATTCCACGGTAAGCAAGTACCACAATTTGTTTAACCATTCACCTGTTGAAAGGCCTTAGTGCTGGTTTCAGCTATTACAAATAAAGGTGCTATTTATATAGATTCGTAAACAAGTTTTTGTGTAAACATAGTTTTCATTTCTCTCGGATAAATGCCCAGAGTGCAATTGGTAAATATTATGCAATTGGTAAATATTTGTCTTCGAATAGGTGTGTAGTGATAGCTCACTGTGGTTTTAATTCATACTTCTCCAGAAGTTAATGACGTTGAACATCTTTTCTGGTATTTATCATCTGTAGAGTCTCTTTGGTGGACTATCTGCCCATGTCTTTTGTCCATATTCTAATAGAACTGTTTGTATTTTACTCTTGAGTTTGAGACTTCTTTATATATTTTACATAGTAGTACATTGCCTATGTGAAGAAAATGAACAGACTGGCTACAGACTGGATGAAAATATTTCACATGGCATAAGATTTTTAATTTAAATGGGGTAAAATTTATCATTTTATTTTTTCTCTTATGAATCATTCTTTTGTTGTTTAATCTAAGACCTCTTTGCCTATCTCCAGGTCCTGAAGACATCTGCTATTTTTTTTTCTCTAGAAGTTTTATATTTTACTTTTCAGTCTATCATCTATTTTGAGTGAGGTTTTCTACAAAATAATGAGGTTTAGGTTGAGATTCATATTTTTTGCCTGTGGATGTTCAATTGCTCTAGTACCATTTGTTGAAAAAACCATTCTTCCTACATTGGAAAGTTTTTGCACCTTTGTCAAAAATCAATTGAGGATGTTTGTGTGAGTGTATTTCTAGGTTCTCTGTTTTCATCTGGGTTTTCAACCAATACCACATTGTCTTGATTACTGTAACTTAGATAAGTAAGCCTAGGTAAATAGTAAGGTAGAATTCTTCCTCCCATTTTATTCTTCTTTTCCAAGATTCTTTTAGCCATTGAAGGGTCTCTGCCTTCATATAAGTTGTGGAAAAAGTTGTCTATGCCTACAAAAGACTTTGGAGAAAATTTGATAGGAATTGCATTAAACCTATCCATCATTTTGGGGAGAAGGGACATCTTTACTATGTTGAGTCTTCCAATTCATAAATATAATTGTCTCTTTCATTTAGGTTTATGCCAGCATTTCATTATTTTTAGCACTCAGATCCTGCACATATTTGTTTGGGGCTTACTTGGCAATGAGACCATTTCTATATCTACACTGATCCATCTGATCCTTACCAGGCACTTCCCATGGGAAAGAATGGACGATTGAGGGAGACAGAGCTTTCTCCTGTTTGGCCTCTTACACCACAGCAGAAAATGATGAAAGACAGGACTGTTACTTACATTTTGGCCTGTTGTTTTAATTAGCTGCTCCAACAATTGGCAGCTCAGTTCTCTCCAGCTCAGCTCAGTGCTTAATAAGATATTCTGTTACTGTTTTTTAGTTCAGTTTTAATATACTCAAAGAACACACTCTGTATTTCAATTCCTTGACTTGGTTGAGGTTTTTCCATGTCTCAGGATATGATCTACCTTGGAATGTTACAAGAGTTCCTAAAAAATTGTGTATTCTGATGTTGCTGTGTGGTGTATTTTACATATATATATTTATACACACACACACACACACACATATATATACACACACACACACACATATATATGTCAATCAGATCCTATTAACTGATGGTTTTGTAGAGTTCTTCTATATCCTTGTCAATTATCTGTCTAGTTGTTCTATCAATTACTGAGAGGAGAGTGTTGAAGTCCTCAGCTATAACCGAAGATTTGTCTACTTCTCTTCTTAGCTCTATCAGTTATTGCTTTATGTATTTTGTGCCTCTGTTGTTTGGTGCATACACATTTAGGAGGATCATTATGTCTTCCTGGTGGATTGATCCTTTTATCATTATGTAAGATTCCTCTTTTTCTGTTGTAATTTTCTGTACTCTAAAGTCTACTTCATCAGATATAAATATATCCACTCCTGCTTTTTTGGTTAACCTTTGCATGACATCCTTTTCCATCCTTTTACTTTTCATGTACCTACGTGGTTGAATTGGAAATCAGTTTATTATCACTTAGATCATGTTTTGGCTTGATAACCTGTATTGTGATTGGTCTAACTAAACTATTTACAATTATACTGATATATATCAGTTCTGTGTCTACATTTTATTATATAATTTCTGTTTACTTTATCTGCTTTTTGGTCCTCTATTTCTCTTTTCTTGATATCTTGGGGATTCCATTTTGATTGATATTAGCGTTTTTCTGTACATTTCTTCACACAGTTTTGGTAGTGGTTGTTCTGTGTGTGACAATGTGCCTATGTGATTATAGTAGTCTACCACCATCCACATCTGACCACTTGTGGAAATGTGATTTCCATTTAGGTCCCCTTTCAACTTTTCCATATCATTATACTGAATAACAGAGGGCATTATAATTTCTTGTTTTATTAAATATGATTCACAAGCTTTATGGGGAAAAGGATATTCTATTGTATGTACACATATTTTTGCTTTTTCCACTTTCCTTTTTCTTTTCTCATGCTCCACGGTTCTTTAATAATTTCATTTTTGTTTGAAGAACTTCTGTTTGACCATCTTTAATGGTAGGTTTCCTAGTGATAATTTTGTTTAGTTTACCTTCATATGAGAAGTTTTTATTTCCTCTTTACTCCTGAAAGATAGTTTTCCAGATATAAAATGTATGGTTGACAATTCCTTTGTTTCAGCACTTGAAGAATATATTGTCAATTCATTAGGGCCTCCATGGTTTCAGATGAGAAATCTGCTTTTATTCTAACTGGTCTTCCTCTCTAGGTAATGTCCCAATTCTCTCTGACTGCTTTCAAGACTTTTTGTTTGCCTTCAGTGTTCAGAAGTTTAATTAAGATATGTCTGAACTTACATTTCTTTGTGTTTATCTTGGTTTAGGTTCACTCAGCTTCTTGAACCTATAGGTGTGTCTCTTTTGCCAAATTTGGGAAAGTTTACAGCCACTAGTTCTTTGATTGTTCTTTCAGCTGCACTCTCTCCTCTCCCTTTGAGAGAATGTTGAATCTTTTGTTACTGTCCATGAGTCCCTAAGTCTGTGTTGATCTAGTTTGTTTGTTTTTTCAGTCTATTTTCTCTTTATTGTGCAGACTGGGTGAATTCTATTGTTCTATCTTCAAGTTCACTGATTCTATTCTCTGTCATCTCCATGCTACTATTGAGCCTATTCAGCATGTTCTTTATTTATGTTAGTGTATTTTTCAGTTCTATAATTTCTATTTAGTTCTTTATTGTAACCATTGTTTTTTTGCTGATATTTTCTATTTGTTTCAAGAGAGCTCGTCAGTGATTGTTGAAGCATGTTAATGGAAACTACTTCAACATCCTTGTCATATATTTCAACATCTGATTTATCTCACTGTTGACATCACTTGATTCTTTTCTCTTTCAAGTTGTGATGTTCTTGATTCCTGATACAACGTGTTCTTTCTGATTGTACCCAGGACATGTCATTTATTATGTTAGGGAACTTTGGGTCCTATTCAAATCTTTTATTTTAGCAGGCTGTCACCCTGTTTATGTTTACCACGTGCCTTGCACATTTTGTGGGTTACAGTTCCAGTTGCTCTTCAATATTCAGAATCTGTGTGGTGGAATTCTGGTCTGCTTGGTTTACATTGGTGCTACCGGGGCTCTCACTGGTTCTTGCTGGTGCTACCTGAGGGACTCTGTGTGTTTCTCAGTTGAAGGCAAAGGGTATAGTAATTTTCCCCTACCAATACCCCCGGGTACCTCAATGTCTCTGGGTGGAAGAGGAGCAGGTCTGGCCTGTGGGGACAAAGAGGCTTCCCAGACTGGCCCCTTTCTGTGACTGGGACCCATTTTTCCAGTCCCACCTACCCTGGTGTCTCTGGGTGGGTAAAGAGAATCTCAGCTTTACAGGTGTTAAGTGGCTTCCTGCGGGGGCTGCTTGCCGAAGCTGGGTCCCTTTACTGGTTCCGTCCACCCACACAGCATTTCTTGGCAGAAACAAGCATCTCGGGCCCATTAGGAGAAGACGAGTGCTTCCCACGGCCACTTATTTTTGGCAGGGTTCCTAATACATCCCACTCGGCAGCAGCGTTGGGCTTGCCCGATGTTATCAGAGGGACCCCCATTCAATCCAGAGAAGGAATGAGCCTAGGCCATTTTCCACATTCCAGTTTTACAACTGGAGCACTTGAAAGTTTTACTTAAGTCTGAATACTTGATATTGATTCATTTCATGAGAAGAGAGTTCATTTAGTTCATGGAAAAAGCCATTAAGAAAAGTGTATATTAAATGTATTTTATTATATGTATATATATATATATATATATGTTATACACATATGAGATTTTCATTTAAACAGTAAGCATGGGTCAATGAGATATAAAACATCATTTGAGAGTTGATAGGAAGTAATAACACTGACAATAAAAGCCACTTTGACTCATCAAGTGACTTTAAATTCCAAGTACTTAGCACTACCTATGTTATTACATCGTATTATCTCCAATGCTTAAAACAGCCCCACTGAAGAAGGAATCATGCTCTTCATTCTACAGTTGAATAACTTAAAGGCCAATTGTTTAAGTAGCTCAGAGAAGAACATGCAGGTGGTAGGTATGACAGACATGAATGGAGGGGCTAACGTGACCAGTGTTATTTCCACTGGAAAGGCACAGTGGAAATAAGGCACTCTTTCTCTAAAAGTCACAGACTTTTAGAGATATAACTTGGAAGATGCAAAACAGTACAGATGAAATGAATTTCTAAGACAGTCATCATAGTCACAAGTCAGTGGAAAGTGACAAGCCACTGCCACACGAGCAGCATTTATAACTTTAGATTTTGAAAGAGCTTTGCTCTCCTGATGCCCCATTCCCATCATTTTTACATGGCTTTCTCACGGTTTTTTCAGACTGTGGGGTCTTAATGCCCAAGGTGAAGGCTGGCATTAGCTGCTCCTTCAACGTTCCGTAATTTTTGTGGCATGCTTTAAATTTTGCCTGTGGTAGTGCCCTATATTATAAAGGGCATTTTTCCCTTTAGGATCTATTAGAAAAGTAAGAAAGAAAAGAAATTCTAGCTCCTAACAGTTGAGGTTTCTCACTTTCTCACTTTTCATCCAAGGAATCCAGGCAGCAAAATTTTCTTACTTTGAGCGACAATGAATCATTTCTAGCTTAAACACTAATGTTCACAAAACCAACTTGGCTCCAATTAAATGAACAAGTGTACTAACCTTCACGAAGCTATTCTGACATTGTCCATCACCGCTGGGGATTAGGAAGTTGTTGTCAAAGCTGATCTCCAAGTGTTTACTTTTGTGAGTAATGGCCGTCCAGGAACATCTGCTGTTTTCGGGAAAATTCTGAGGCCAGTGAGGGGATCTGATTGTACCATTATCAGAATGAAATATTCCACCACAACCTGAAATATTGCCATGTAAAAAGCCATCAATCAGCAAGGAAAGTAATTTTGGAAACTCAAGACTGCTACAGAAGGAACATTTCCAAATGTGAGATTTCAATTCATCATTTTTTACAAGTGATCATCTTCCAGTCAGGTGCACAGCAAGCTCTCTCCATAAATGGAAAGGTGAGTTAAATTGAGAGAAAATTTCAGCTGTTACAGTTGTGTTACAATGATATTGAATTCAACCAAGAACACTAATCCGTGCCATAGAGAGGATAGATTTCCATCCTGTCTCCAAACAAGAGCTGTATTTTTATTCTCTTTGAGCCTATGTAGTATATGTAACCTGGCAATGCTAAGTTCTGTATTTTATTACCATTCACACATGAGAATATTACTCTACACTCCATTTGCAACGTTACTCTAACTGGACTAGAGAAAGTGATTTTGAGTTGGGGAAAATTCTTTTATTAAGCAATCTGATTGATTCATATTGAAACTGACTGATGGATCAAAATTAATTATGTAGATTCAAAGGAAGAAAAATCTAGAATTTTCATACAAAACAAAATGAAGTTAAAGAGGCATTCTCCGAATCTTTTGCTGTGAAACCCCTGGAAATCAGGGATTCACCTAAAACTCCCTTCTCACTTCAATAACAGCCAGTGGTTGTTAACCAGGGGAAGTCTGACTCAGTCAACAAAGAGCTTCATAATAACTGTGACTCTACCAGAAATAATTGTCTTGTGTGATATACAAGATTTACAGAAATCCCTAATAAAGTATGTGATACAAGTCCTTGTATTTTCTGAGAATTTTCACAATGTTTATACTTTCTATGCACAAAAACTATTCTTTTAAAATGAAATCTGTCATATTTTGACTCAGGACCCATTCACTACAGCATTTGTTCTAAATTACAAATCTCATCTTGTCACCTTCGTTTTCAAAACTCTTCAACAGTTTCCCATTGTTCAAGGGATAACATATAAACCAAGGCTCTTTATGTTGTGGACTTATTTTCCTGCCCTCAGCTCACCACTCAGCATTCTGCTTTTAGGCTCCAGATATTTTCAAGCACTTGGGATTCCAACTCATGTTTCTATTACTTGAGATTCCCAGGTTGTGCCATACCCTTTTGCCGATGAAGGCAGCATCATGAAGTGTTGAGATCAAAGTTTCTGGACTGAATTGCCTTTATTCAAATCCCGACTCTACCAATTATCGGCTATGTATCTAGGCAAATGATCAACCCATGCTTCCTCAGTCTCTGCCCATGCAAAATAGAGATGCCAGGTATTGATATTGTGTTATCCCACCAGGGTTGCTGCATGAGATGACATGTGCAAATATTTAGAACTAAGCCTGATGTAAAGTAGGTACAAAATGTACATATTATGAGTTCATACTATACATCACTAAAAAGAAAATCAAATGGAGCAAACATTTCTTTTACCTAAAGTTTGTGTGTTCCACGTAGCATAAAATCCACCACCTTGCAATGAATGGTCTGAGTTAAAAGTCACGACCAGCTGATTGGAACCTGACTGTATTGTCCTGGGGTTTGAATTTCCACAGTATTGTCCTATGATGGGTGATTCAGGGGACCCACCATTCCTGACAGTGACAGAGTCCCAAGCACAAGTTGTATGGGGTTCAATATCAAAGTCACTAAATGTGAGCTGCAGGAGAAAAAAGAAAATGGTTGTCAGTGAGCTTTTATCAACTGTTACGAAGATAAGGCCCTTACAAATCGTTTAATTTTGTTTTTATTTTTATAATTTGTATTTTTGTCTCTTATTTAATTCTCCCTTCCCCTCTACTTTTTTTTCCTTATTGAAGGTTCTCTTGGAAATTTTGAGAAAAGACATTTCCCTGGTTTGGGATGGCAACACATATTAAGAAACTGAATACACTTCTCTCTAAGACGCAGAATTATCTTCTGTGTATATCTTTCCCTATGCTTAAAAAAGAGATTTCACTCTTCATGAATAATAAATGCCAATGTATGTGCTCTAGTGAGAAAATGTTAGGGAAAAACAGTGATCTCATTGTAGAATCAAAGCCTTCTCTAATCACTTGCTTAATAAAAGAGCTCCATTTTCATGCAGGACAGGCTATTGTGGTTCTATTGTCTCAGAAGCATTTCACCCAGTCATTAGCACTCACAGTGATGGTGTGCCCTTGTGGGGCCTCCAACAGCGAAGAGCAGTGGGTCAGGCTGTCATAAGCATTTGGATAGTTGGGGCTTGTGATCACTCCACTGTCACCTATCTGTATTCCGCCACAATCTGAAATGAGATTGGTAACCCTCTCAATAAAACAGAAGTAAAAAAAAGAACCGATAATGCCAAAGTAAGTAGTAATCATAACCATCAGATTTTGTGATTAAAAACATAGTAAGGCCAGGCATGGTGGCTCACGCCAGTAATACCAGCACTTTGGGAGGCCGAAGTGGGCAAATCACCCGAGGTCAGGAGCTCAAGACCAGCCTGGCCAACATGGTGAAACCCCATCTCAACTAAAAATACAAAAATTAGCTGGGCTTGGTGGCGTCTGCCTGTAATCCCAGGTATTCAGGAGGCTGAGGCAGGAGAATCGCTTGAATCAGAAGGTGGAGGCTGTAGTGAACCGAGGTCATGCCATTGCACTCCAGTCAGGGTGACAGAACAAGACTCTATCTCAAAAAAAAACCATATTATATATATACACCATATATAGTATATATATATATATATATATATATATATACACACACACACACACACCATATATAGTATATATATATATACACCATATATAGTGTGTATATATATACACCATATATAGTATATATATACACACACACCATATATAGTGTGTATATATATATATACACACACCATATATAGGGTATATATATACACACACACCATATATAGTATATATATATACACACACACACCATATATAGTATATATATACACACTATATATAGTATATATATATTTGTATATACTATATATAGTATATATATTTGTATATATAGTATATATATTTATATATATAGTATATATATGTATATATATACTATATATATTTGTATATATAGTATATATATATTTGTATATATATAGTACATATATATTTGTGTATATATAGTATATATATTTGTATATATATATTTTGTATTTTTTTGTGTATGTATATTTTATGTATATATATGTATAAAATAAATGAAATTAAATAGAAGAAAAGTAAAATTGGGTAAAAGTTTAGGAATAACAAAATTCCATACGGTATTAGCATAGAAAATTGAAAATTGAAAAAAAAATACATTTCTGAAGAATAATATGGTCTGATGTTCAATACAAATAATACTGTTTACTGAAACCTGACTCTTCTTTGAATCTGATGAAGGAAAATCAACTGGCAAGATGGTTGAGTGAGTAGATAATCAATTTCACTCCTTCTTCAACCAGCCATTTGGTTATAACACAAAGGAATGTTAGATAAAACCATAACTAAAACATATTTTGATTCATAGCAAACTCAATGGAAAGAAAAGCAGCTCCCCAAAATCTAGAAGCAGTAAGTGTACTCAAAGTGAGAGGAGTGAAAGTGAAAGAGTGAAGTCTGAGAGGGTAAAGAATGCAGGTTTGGGTCCCAGGGTTGGGCTCTGAGGTTTTGATGACTGGGTAGGAGGAGAAGATAGGGCTCTGGGTCTCCACAGAAGGCAGGACTGGAATTGAGACTTTTACAAGAAGTTGGGAATCTAAACAAACTGGCATGCTCGTGAAAAGGGACTAGAAAACCTCCCATTGCCAAGGGAAGCAGTCAAGAGTAGGGCTGGGTTTTCCAGCACAAACTCTGAATGTTGCATATGCAAATCCAACACAAAACACTAGCAAATAATACCCATTATATGTATAAAACACACATCATGACAAAATAGGATTTATCCCAGAAATGCAAGGATGGTTTACCAAGAGAAATAAATCTTTCATATAATTCATCACATTAACTTATGAAAGGAGAAAAAGTTGAATCATCTCAATGGATGCAGAAAATCATCTGATAAAATCCTATGCCCATTTACATTTAAAAAAAGCTTTTTCACACTAAGGATGGAAGGGACTTTCTTTAACAAAAGATATTTATTGGAAACTTAAGAGCAACCAATATATTTAATAATAAAATGTCATAGTCACATCCAGGTCAGAAACAAGATGCTATCATTCCTTCTGTTCAATATTCGATGGTGGCCCTAGCTAGCAAAAGGATGCAAGAAAATGAAATTCTGTATTATGACTGAAAGCATAAAGAACTAACATTTGCAGAAGTTTACACAGAAAGATCAAAGAGAATCTATAGACAACATATTAAAACTAATAAGAGGATAGCTAGATCTTTGGACTAAAGTTACATGTATGCAAAATTATAAAATTTATAATAATTATGCAAATTACAAAATAATTTTAAAATTATTAAATAATAATTATTATTAATAATTATTTATTATTATTAATTATTAAATAATTATTGGATAATTTTAAAATTTAATAATTTTAAAATTATGCAGTTTATTATTGAATAATTTTAAAATTAAATAATAATTTTAAATTATGCAAATTATAAAATTTCTAGATATCAGCCACAACCAATTAAAAAATGTAATTTAGAAAATCTCATTGATAATATTAACAAAACTAATAGCTATGTAGAAATAAATCTAACAAAATATATATGAAATCTTTATGGAAAAAAATCATTAATCTTTATAAGTAATTTTATCAAGATCTTAATTATAATTCTTACCTGTAAAGGAATACTTTGCATGGAATCCAATGTGTTCTACACGTTCGTTGGTGACAAAGTGAATCCATACCTGAGAATAAGGTATAACCAATGGCAATGTAGGCTTTGAAGGACCACAAAGTCTCCACATCAGGGGCCCATCAGCATCACCTGAACAAAATAATATACCAAGTGCCATCATTGATACAGCTTTTGAGAAATACATTCAATGAATTTGATAAAAACAAATTTCAAGATATTCATTGACACACACTTAAATTCTGATTTAGTAGCAGACATTGCACAATATTTGTGTGTCTCTGTTAACTGCAACAGAAAGTCCCTCCAAGGGGGTAAAACAAACACAAAAAAATCAAAGCAATTTTGAAATGAACCTCTATGATGGACACCATTTTGTTCCAATTTGTGTTTTCATAGTTATTTCAGCATATCTAAACAGAGATACAATGAATTAAAATAGCACTTTTGGACACACCTTTTGTAGGGTGTAAGAAATATAATACCAACAGTGATAAAATATATCCTCAAGATAAAGTGATCATTGCCTAAAATTTGAAAGATTTCTTCACTATATTCAATCAACTGAAATGGACTCCATATTCGGCATTCAGGCCAAGAGCTGTCAGATCTGAGCCTAATATTTTTCATGAAGATTACATTTCGTGGGTTTGATGAACATGTACAGAGCACCAACAGAGCTCTCATTTATCTGCTTTCTTTTTATTCTGTCAGATAAACATCACTGGTCTTCTAAATCAATGATATATAGTATTTTAACTGCCTCTAAACCTGAGCAAATAAAGAGAAGACAGCATTTAGCTGACTGAAATTTGAGATACAGCTGTTCTGCTTAAGACCACAAGCCGGTGGTTTTGAAACAGGCAGAGGGGGTGAGGGTTTATCAGAATTCCATGGAGAACATTCTCAAACCACAACTTCCCTTTCCCTTATAAGCCTTTTTAGACTCTTCAGCCTCAGAGAGGTTGGAGGACTCTCTGGCTGAGGCCCTTGGCCCGTGGGTACAGGCTCTATCAAATTCTCCTTCCTGAAAATTCTGTCGCTCACGTTCTCAAAGGTAATTAACATTGACCTCTCAGTTTCCCAAGGACTTCTCCACCAACTAACTGATGAGCTTCTGCTGCTTTCAGCCTCCTTTTCTTTAAATTTTGGGATTACACAGAACTCAGCAAAACTTTTACAGTATGGATGATTACGTACTATTTACAATATTATTGTCTTCCTCTATCTACTTGTTTATTTACTGAGAAAAACGTGTCAGCATAATCATGGAAGCAACCTAATGAATAACCTACACCTTGACTATGGGAAAGAAAGAAAATTGATTCATCCTCTTTGAATACAGAGTTTTAAAAATTCTTAAGAGAATTATGGTTTATTGAGTACACCGCAATCCTTTTCCATCACGAAAACCAAGACAAATGACTGCTTTGGGGTTATTTCCCCAAATAGCTTCCATGTGTTTCTCCATCTGGTATATTGCAAAACTTCTTTTAACTCCTAAGGCCTCAGGAGAATTTCACAGCCCCTTCATAAATCCTGGAAGTTCAGGAAACTGCCAACACATGCTGAGCATGCTAAGTCCCAGTCTCCTTGGAAAGGAGTCTTGATAGTAGTGGACTCTCGCTTCGGCAAAAGTCACATGCCGGGAAACGAAGTGACTGTAACACAGAGTCTAGTTGTACAGTGATCCGCCTCACTCACTGTTCCTGGGGTTCGTTTTCCTCAGCTGGGCACACACAGAATTATGGCTTCGAACAGAGTTCTTTTGGATCGTGTGTACCTATGTTAGAGCCATTTGACTCCCTTCATTGTTAGTAGTCTCCAAGCATATGAAGAATATTGTAGGCCAGCCGTGGTGGCTCATGCCTGTAACCCCAGCACTTTGGGAGGCCAAAGAGGGAGGATCACTTGAGGCCAGGAGTTTGAGACCAGCCTGGACAACATAGGGAGACCCCATCTCTACAAAAAATTTTAATAATTAGTTGTATGTGGTGATGTACACCTGTAGTCCAAGCCACTTGGGGGACTGAGGCAAGAGGATCACCTGAGCCTGGGAGGTTGAGGCTGCAGTGAGTTATGATCACACCACTGCACTCCAGTCCGGGCAAGAGAGCAAGCTCCTGTCTCAAAACAACAACAACAGCAGCGACAACAACAAAAAAGATAAAAAGAATATTGTAGATAAATGGGAAAACGCATTCTTAGATAGAACTCACCCACTCGAAACTCGAGGACATCAAATTGACAGTCTTGGTGACTTTCTAGGTAAAAATCTTCAAAGTGAATGGAAATGGATGAATTTCCCTGATTTGGATTGCTGAGAGTCCATTCGCAGTTCAGGTTTCTTGAGTAATTCCTGACTCCGTCATAGCCAGGAGAAGTAAAGTTTCCTTCAGGAGTATTTGGAAGAGACCCACCACACACTAAGAAAACAGAAGGCAACAGAGAAAGTAGTAGTAAGATTCAGGCCACAACGGAAGAGATAAACAATACAGGAACAGTAACTAAAACATCAACATTACTGCTTTGATTTGTTTTTCTAGATGCAGTCAAGCTTATGGGTAAAAGGCATGCAAATTATGGAAGTTTCTGCAAGTTTATAAAGGAAAGATGTGCAAAAATCAACAACTTCTCTATTTTCCTGTTGCTGTAGATTAAGTGGTGGGCGTTTGGCTCTGTATCAATAGGTCCAAATATTGAGGCCTACTGTTCATTAATATTTACTTTAGAGGAATACATAAATATAATGGTGGCAGGTCCTAATGGCTTGATTAGCAATTCTCCACTTGATCTAATAAATTATTTTAAATCAAACAGATAATAGGACATTAATTTGCCATTAATTTGCCCCCTTTTAATAAAGGAACAGATGCTTCTTGTACCAATGAAATAACTTAGCGTTTTTCTTTTAATATTCACTCCCACTTCTAAATTTTAAAACTTCTAAATTTTAAAACACTCCCACTTCTAAAATTTAAAACCCTTTAAAATTTTGAACCCAATTCAGGAAATAGGAGGATATTTATAATTAGAGGCCATATCTTGCTTAATTTTGGAATATTCTATATCAAATCAAACCTCCCATTTATTTTCACTGGAAATATGTGTGTGGATAGATGACTAGAAACAATAAAGCCTGTTCTGTCCCCAGCAAAATTAATTACTCTCTGAGACTAAGTTACCCTCTAGGAGGTAGATGGTTTCTTTCAGCACAAAAGAATTGACCAGGGACTACGGAACAGGTCACCAACCCTCATGGTAACATGACCTGAAACTGTGCTAGAAGCTAATCTAATAGCATTAAAAGTTTTAAATTCACTATGGCAGTTTCTTTCTGAAATCAGAAAGCTTTTTTTCTGTCTGCAGTGCGTTTTTCATCTGCTTATGTGTGTTTGTCTTATGTCAAAGATTTCAAGTATCACTAAAGGGAAAATGGATGGCTCTGCTGCCATTGGCAGTAGATGGGGGCATCTGCAGTGCCCCTGATTAAAATGGGGGGCATTTACAACATCCTACATTACCTGCATCTTCACTGGAGGTATAGGAAGCAGTGAAGCCGCCATATGGCCTGGATCCATCCGTGAAAAAAATGACTTTCATTGTGTTTCCTGAAGATTTAATCTCATTGCTTACATTCACACTACTACACAGTTTCTCTAGCTGGGGTGAGTTACTTCTAATGCCATTGAATACCTGTTGGAAAAAGAGTTTAACCTTCAGGCACACAATCCATCTTACTGCATATTTCCTAGGAGGTGATATTTCCAGCCCAGACCCACTTCCTTTTATGGGAACCCTGCCCCAAAATGAATGACCTAACAATGCAGGTTTCTATCGCAGTGCCACAAGCCACTGTTACCCCGAGCACATTTTGTGACTTCAGGGTGATTTCACTAGAATGAAAGTATTGCAGTAATGCCTTCCTGCCATGTGGTGATAGATTAAAAGCTGCTATACACTTTGCAACTGGAAACTGTGCTCTCAATGTAAAGGAGATGAGCCATTGTGCTTACAATGTGGTCTGCAGAGCTCACTGATGGGCAGTTTTTCTTAACAATGCATCAGGACATTTGTTACTTGGAAGGGAAGCTTAAATATCAGTTTCTGATGATTTCATGTACATAATAAAGCAGATATTTTTCTTTATTTACTTTAATTTTTATTTATTTATTTTTTGAGACAGAGTTTTGCTCTTGTTGCCCAGGCTGGAGTGCAGCGGTGTGATCTTGGCTCACCGTATCCTTCACTTCCCAGGTTCAAGCAGTTCTCCTGCCTCAGCCTCCCAAGCAGCTGAGATTATAGGCATGCACCACCACGCCCAGCTAATTTTGTATTTTTAGTAGAGATGGGGTTTCACCATGTTGGTCAGGCTGGTCTTGAACTCCTGACTTCAGGTGATCCACCTGCTTTGGCCTCCCAAAGTGCTGGGATTACTGGTGTGAGCCACAGCACCCAGCAAGCAGATATTTTTAAATACTTTGAAAAGTAATTTGAAAAATCAATCTCCATCTGCAATTAAACATAATAGTTCTTTCCTCATTAGTTATGGATTCAAAGCTTCAATTTTCTTACTTATTTGAATTTCCAATAATGGATTATTATTGACTCTAAAATATTAAATAATAGCTGTAGTCATTCACATAGTTACAATAATTCGCAAACTATTCTTCCAATGCTTTATAAAATCAAATGAATTTGCATGACTGGTTTTCACAGTTCAAAAAAAATCTAGATGAAATAACTGAACAATAATTCATTGATTGAATGGTTGATATTCCCATTTTTAAAAGGATTTGAATGACTCAAGATTAGAAATAATGACTCAGACTATGGCACTAACAGTTATGCAGAAGGAGAATGCACTCCACAACAAAAGATGTCATCTCTTTTTTTTTTTTTTTTTTTTTGAGACGGAGTCTCGCTCTGTCGCCCAGGCGGGACTGCGGACTGCAGTGGCGCAATCTCGGCTCACTGCAAGCTCCGCTTCCCGGGTTCACGCCATTCTCCTGCCTCAGCCTCCCGAGTAGCTGGGACTACAGGTGCCCGCCACCGCGCCCGGCTAATTTTTTTTTGTATTTTTAGTAGAGACGGGGTTTCACCTTGTTAGCCAGGATGGTCTCGATCTCCTGACCTCATGATCCACCCGCCTCGGCCTCCCAAAGTGCTGGGATTACAGGCGTGAGCCACCGCGCCCGGCCAAGATGTCATCTCTTTAAATTTACTATAATTAATCAAATTTAGCTCTCTGGGGGCTTCTGGTGTAAAGTGTCTTCTGGCTCACTGGACCAGAAGAAGAGTTTGCTATCATTTACTGAGCAGACAAAAATGCCAGTCTTTGCTTATCATCCACTCAGCCTGTCTTATCTAATCAACAAAACACCCTCCCAGGCAGATAACAGTATCCCTGTTTTCCAGATTAAGATACCAGAATCCAGAAAGATGATGTAATAATAGAACTGGGATTCAAACCATCCCTCTGATTCCAAACCATTAAGTAATGCATAAAGAAACAGATGAGGAAAAATATTTCTATAATGCTGAAAACAGGAATGGGCACCACATTGATGGAATCAAAAGGGATTAGAACCAACCATAAGGTTAATGGGACATGTCGGAAACTGTGATCAATGGCTGTTATCCTGCCTCTGAGTCTGCCTTTGGCATAGAATCACAATGACTGAACATGTTATAGTCATCCATTTATCACATGGACTTCTGCTGTTAGAAGCAACCAGAATGCAATTCCCATCATTGTCCTCTAATCCCTTTTGTACTTAGAAACTACAACTCTCAGAGTACAAATGGATAGGAAGCAGGCACGTGAGATTTAGGATCTGCTATGAGCAGGGACAACATCAGACACAGGTCTTATTGTAGGACACACTGGGTGGCATAGCTTTTTATTTTCTCTGTCTGTACAGAGAGTCAGATAGGCAGGTGGGTTTAGAGAAATTTTAGGCTCATTCCAGCTGGATAAGGTATTAGCTAGGAAGCAGTGCAATGAAAGTTAAAGCTGCCTCCTCTGCACCAGCAGATCTTCTTTCTTCTTCACTCTTTTCTTTTTTTTCTTTCATCTTTTACTTCTTCTTTTCTCTTTCTCCCTCTCCTTCTCATTCTCCTCCTCCTTCTCTTTCTCCTTCTTCTACTTCTTTTCTTCTTCTCTCCTTCTCCTTCTTATTGTTCTTCTTTTTTTCTCCTTCCCCTTCTCCCTCTTCTCCTTCTCCCTCTCTTCTCCCTCTTCTTCTTCTCCCTCTTCTCCTCCTCCTTCTCCTTCTCTTTCTTCTTCTTCCTCTTTCATCTTTCTTCTTCCTCTTTTCGGCAAGTTCTCAATCAAATAGAGTAGGGGCAAAGGCCAACCCACATGCCCTTGTTTGGAGCAGGGTAAAGAGGAACCAAAATAAACATTGAACATATAAAAATACATTTCAAAAAAAGGAATGTGGACATTAGAACTAAAGACTCAGAAGAAAAATTAATTCTGAAAGTGATTCGTCGCTGGAGTTTTAACCTCCCCAAGAGAAAAGACCTGTGGATATGACATTTGTAGGTTTGCAGGTTTTGCTAAAGAGTCAGGGCCCCCTCATGCATACAGAGATACCAGTCATCCTTTCAGTAATTCATTCTTAAATACGAATGAATAGCCAAGGATCAGCAGACATTTAGGGAAGTGACTAATGTAAAAGGCAGAGACCAATATTAGTAAACAGGAGATAGGAACATGAAGAAAACTGACCCCAAATGAGCAACACAAAACTTCAAAATTATTATTAATATATTCATATATATTAATATATCAAACATATAAAATATTTAAATATATACTTTTCAAAGATTTATGGTAAAATAAAGATAATTTCAGGTATACCATTTTTCAAAAGATTTATTGCCCTTGCCCATTTCCTTGGGGAGCCGCAAGAGGGTATGCCTCACCAAAAGAGGAAATTAACCAAGAAAGGGACGTGCATAGCATCACAAAGTCAGCTCTCTAGCCCAGGAGAAGAATGAAGGAACTTGCACATTTGATGGCAAAGGGAAATTCTGAAATGACAGCTAGCATCAGGCTTGCAGCTGACGTACAAAGGCTCAAGGAAGGATATTACTGAGGAAAAGAAATGGAACTGATATGTTTTACTACAGAAGGTAGAGATGCACATCTGGGGTGGAGAGGGTGTGGACGAATTGGTGATCAATGCATAAAACCCAAGAAAATGTAAAGAGGACCCAATTATTATTATTCCTTAGGAAAACAAAAGCAAATGTTGCCATACTACACTACTTGGCTCAGTTGTGAATGGTGTTTACATAATCATGGTAATGTCAACTGAACAGCAATTTAAGCAAAAGCGTGACATACGTATTTTGGGAGACGATTGGGAAAGTATATAAACATTGCATACCCCATGTGTGTTTGTGGTGGCAAAGGGGTAAGTCTCATCTTCTAGAGTAGGATGTGGATAGATAATGTCCAAAAAAAGCAAGGAGTAGTAGAATAGGAATATTATTTAGAAATAATGACATAAAACCCACCAGCAGTAGCTGCAAGAGTTATAAGTTGATAATTAAGGGATAGGGAGATGACAAGTAAGATCTGCTTTGGAATTTGTGGTTGTGACTGTAACTTTTATTTGAGATCTAAAACTATGACTGTTCATATTCTCTTTCCTAAAGGACATGTGAATACTCTGCTTGTAAAATTCCTGATAATCATTATATTCAGTATGATTTAAACTATGAAAATAATTTCAAAGGTAAAAAACAACTGTTAGCACATACATCAAAATTTTAGTAATACATGAGTAGAATTAAAAATATCTTTATATTTTTTATTTTCTGAACTCTCCAAATATTGCTCAATAAGCATCCATTATATTTATAACCAGAAAAATAGATTAAAATCAGAATTCAAGTGGATTTATATCACATGATTACAAGTACATAAAGTATGCTTTGCCAAGAAGAGATGAGAAAATGAATCAAAATGTGGTATAGTGGGAGTGGTTAGTATTTTTTCTACTTCATCTTTGTTTATATAATTCAATCAATAATAGGAAAAAAGTTTCTTTATAATAAACAACCTTAGTCCAAAATTTCCTGGCTCTCAAATAAAAGAAAACACACTTGGTTTCTTATTTTCAAGATCTGAAAGAAAACAGTTCAGTCCTTCAGATATTAGAACTTGGAAATAAAATCTGAAGGTTGAATAAGATCATTTTACGGCAATACAAAGTGGTCATAAGATACAAAGATATTTCATATTTTTGAAATTCACTACCCAACAGGAGACGATTAAACTGAAAACAAAAGTGGCTTGTTATAAAAGGGATAATGATAGTACCTCTACTATCCATTCATTCAACAATTATTTATCTCTATTATGTACAGGCACTGGGGATTCAGTGAATCCCCAGCAGTGAATGAAACTGTGGCTTGACCTCAAGGAGCTCACATTCTAGTGGGGGAAGCAGACAATAAACTGATGAACAAATCAAAATGATGTATGGCAGCAGGTGTGAAGTGCTGCAAAACAACATGGCAGAGAAGGGTCAGGCCAGGGTGGGGTCTGTAATATAAGGTACTTAGACCTTATGGATTAAAAGGCATTCGAGCAGAGACCCCAGTGAAGTGAGGGTGTGGAGCAGGCCGCCATCTGGGGAGGGGCATTCCAGATGAAGGCAACAGCCAGATGGGGAGCATCTCAGCACATTCAGGGAACGGAATGGAGGCCAGGTGGCTGGATCCCAGAGAGCAAAGAAGAGAGGAGTTTGAGATAAGACAAACAGGTAGAAGAGGGAGGGGCAGCAGATAATGTCAGCCAGGTGGGCCACAGGTGCAATTTGGGATTTTCCTCTGAGTTAGATGAGAAGCCATTAGAGGATTTTCAAAGGCAGCAACATGATCCGATTGAGGTTTAAAACCATCACATGCTGCTGTGTTGAGAACGTAGGGAGAGGAGAACGGAACCAGGGGGACGAGGTGGAACTTTCTAAAATAATCCAAGTGAACGGTGGGGGTATTAGTAGCAGATATGATGAGAAATAGTTCAATTGTGGATATTTTTAAAGATACACCCAATGGGACTTGCTTATAGATGCCATATAGGGTGTGAGAGGAAGGATTCCAAAATAGACATCAAGATTTTTGACCCAAGCAACCAGAAGTTTGGAATTATTTACTGAGATAACAAACACTGCAGAAGGGGCAAGTTGGGTGGATAAATTTACTAATATTAATCCAATCTTCCTATCTACACACACATATGTGTGCACAGCACTTCACAGTTAACAATCTATTTGTTATTCACACTCAGGGATCTCATTTGCTTTCTTTCACTGCAGGAAGCTGAGAGTGCTGAAGACACATGTGAAACCACTGGAGGTTGGTGACATGGAGGTCACGTAGCAGTGCTCTCCCACCAAGAGTCCCTCTGTACCCCTGGAGAGAGCAGTGCTTATGCAGGACCACCCACCTGCTCAGAACTTTCGTGGTGGCTTGTGCTGTGACTCTGGTCCCATTCAGCTGTGTGCTGCTGTAGGCTTAGCTTCCCACAGCCTCTCCGGTTTTGCCATTTGTCGTGATCATTCACTCTTAAAATTTATTCTATGACCCTGATGCACAGAGTGATAGCTGATAGTCTCTTCAAACAACTTTTACAATTATTTTGACAGGTTACTGTGATTTTGTTCTTTCAACAATACTTAGAATTTGTCTGAGTTATAGTTGCATAGATGGCAATTTTCCTGACCTAGTTTTCTGACTATGATTTATGGGTCGGTAAACTCTTTAAATGATGGAATATAACATCTCAGGCGGCAGGGAACACTTACTATCACATGCTCATTGTTGCAGGACGGATGCGTGGCCAGCCTCAGGTTGTTAAACATTAGGGTGATCCGCCTTCCCTCCGGGGCAGTGATTCTCCACTCGCAGATCCGGCCATGAGGATTTGGGTTCGGGTAGTTGGGAGAAGTAAATGTTCCAATAGAGCCCTGAAGATCCCCACCACACTCTGACGTGGGGAAAAAGCCAAGAAAACTTTCAATCAAATCAAAATGTTTCCTTCCATCAAGAAAGCTCTCAAAATTCAGGTATTTAAAAATTATCCTTCTAGATAAAATTAGTCTCCATATTTATTTATGTGCATGAGGATTTTAGTGAACATATACATTCATTTTTTATCTCTATTAATATTTAACCCTGCCTTCCATGGGTGATAGTCCACAGGCAGCAATTTAGTTATCATCATGGCCCAAGAAATGAGAGACCAATGAATGTAATGAACTTAAGAATCAGGAAAATCGGGCCAGGCATGGTGGTTCACACTTGCAGCACTTTGGGAGGCTGAGGCAGGCAGATCACAAGGCCAGGAGTTCAAGACCAGCCTGACCAACATGGTGAAATCCCGTCTCTAATAAAAATACAAAAATTAGCCGGGCGTCGTGGCGTGCGCCTGTAATCTCAGCTACTCAGGAGCCTGAGGCAGAAGAATTGCTTGAACCCGGGAGGCAGAGGTTGCAGTGAGCTGATATCATGCCACTGCCCTCCAGCCTGGACAACAGAGCGAGACACTGTCTCAGAAAAGAAAAAAAAAAGAATCAAGAAAATTGGCCAGCAGTGGTGGCTCACACCTGTAACCCCAACACTTTGGGAGGTCAAGGCAAGACCCCATGTTCACAAAAAAAAAAAAAAGAGGAAAATCAGAAAGTTAATGTTAAGTACCCAGTTTTTCTGAACAAGATCTTTATTTCATTTGAGTTTGTTGGGTTTGCAGTAAGACAAATTCTGAGTAACTACAGGACTCTCTTAAGGTGGGCATTACAGTATAACTCTCATCCTCTTATTATCTCTCTCGTGATACTAGTTATTTTCCCTTATAGCATTGATCACAGCTGTAATTTTTCATTTATCACTGTGAATTTCTGATTAAGGTCCAAGAAAATAGGGGTCATGTTTTGTTTTGTTTTTCAAATATTTTAACACTGGTGCCTAGCATAGTGTCTGTCCAATGCAGGTGCTCAATGTTGTGTTGAATGAATCAATGAACTCACCTTCCATACTGGATTCAAATCGCAGTCTGAATCCTGAGGCAGTCACAGAGCCGTCTGTGACAAACCTGACCACAGCAGTATTGCTAGAAGTGTCTATGCTGTCAGGAATGGTGTTTCCACAGTATCTGCCCAAGATGTTTCCTGTGAGAGACAAATAATTAAATATACATGTCCAAGTGATTGATTTCCTTTACCCTCTATTCAAGGTGTCCTGTGTGTACAAAGAAAATAATAAAAAACAAGACCCTGCCTATGAAGAAACGTTAATCTCTGTCAAGACAACAGGAAAACATGAATAAAAATGAACATATTCAAATACATGAAGAAGTGAAAAAAATGCAACCAATTAGGGGAAGGATATCTCAGCACAATGAGGAAGGCTTGCTCATTTGGTTGAAAAAATGATCTGAGACAACAGTGACAAGTATCTGCCTTATGCTACCACTAGGAGACATGCATGATCCCTTCCCCATCTCAAGCTATAGAACACCCCTCAAATAACGGCATGTGGCAATGGGATGTCTCAGCAGCAAGAGGTGCCTTCCCACTACCGTTGCTCTCCCCAAGTGGCCTCCAGGGTGGGCTATATGACACCTGGGCTCTGGGCATCCATTGTTAATGGTAGAATTGAGGGAGAGAATCACCAGTACTGCCCAAAGCTCATTAGTCTGCACTTCTCTGCAGAGTATAGATGTGCTTTTGCCTTTCTTGGAAGTGAAGAAACTTCAGAGGCTGAATAAGTACATGTGAAAATAAACACCCAAAAGAGAGCAGATATATTTTACTAACCAGAGGTATGATTGTCCCAGATCTCCACGAAGTCTTTTTCACAGCCAGAAGAATTCTGAAGGTTAAAGTCTTCAAAAGAGATGGTGAGATAGTGTCCAGAGAGCCCCTGGAGATGCCACTCACAGAATAAGTTGTCTCTGTATGGAAGTGTTGGATGTCCAATGCTTTCAACAACACCACTTTGCCCTGGTACTCTTCCCCCACACTGAGCTGCAAAAAATAAAAATAAATAAATAAATAAGAAAGCAAGCAAGCAAGAAAGATTGATTCTATTACAAATTTTGTTTTCTTCATTTCACCAGCACATTTGAAAACTTTTAGGTGCCAAGTGACTCTGAATTGAAGTTTTAAAAATTCTGAAAACGGTTAGTGCTTTCCTCATTATTTGAATTCTACTGTTGATGTAAACAGAAATGATACCACAAGTCCAATACAATAATGGGAAACAGAAGATGATGACTAAATGGAATATTCTGTAATGTCACATTAATTCTTTTGGGACACTATGTAAGAGCTAATAGTCGCAAGTAAGTTTCATCTCAAGAACCAACTGATAGGCTGATCTGGCCTGCCTAGTACCCTGTGTTGATCCTAAAGACTGAACCCAAGCTCAGCTGGAAGGGGTACTGTGGGGACACCTGCCATTCCTAGTTTTACTCTCAACTAAACAGTTCACTACAGTAACTGATATCTCAGGGCCTTGAAAATTACTATTCAATTATGTCTTATTAGCTGGGTGTGATAGCTAATTGAATTATATGCAGCTTGACTCAGGATATAACACGATCTATGGTGTAGTTAAACATTGTTACCACTAGGCTTTCTGAACTTTCGCGGTATTAAATATTTGTTTGGTTTGTGTCTAAACCTATTAGATACCAAATTATGTGCTATTGTGACCATATTATAGTGAATCTTCAACCGCTCATTTTTTAAATAAGGAAATCAAAATGCTGAAGAGGCATATTTGCTTTCTTTTTTTCTTTTCTTTTTCTTTCTTTTTTTTTTTTTTGAGACAGAGTCTTGCTCTGTCACCCAGCCTAGAGTGCAGTGGCGCAATCTCGGCTCACTGCAACCTCCGCCTCCTGGGTTCAAGCAATTCTCTGCCTCAGCCTCCTGAGTAGTAGGAATTACAGGTGCCCACCACCATGCCTGGCTAATTTTTGTATTTTTAGTGGAGACAGGGTTTCACCATCTTGGCCAGGCTGGTCTTGAACTCCTGACCTCGTGATCCACCTGCCTTAGCCTCCCAAAGTGCTAGGATTACAAGCATGAGCCACCATGCCCCACTGACATGTTTGCTTTTTATCCAGTGACTGATTTGGCACTAGAGACTCAGAGAAAAAAAAGGTTAATTATTTTATATTTGATGAGGAATTCAAAGACACTGTGCTAAATAGAGTTACCTGGTTCTTAAATGGTTTTATTACTTAAAGTAATAAACATACTGCATTTCTTCCTTTTCCTTGGGGGATACATTCCAAGACCCCCAGTGAGTGCCTAAAGCCTCAGATAGTACCAAACCCTATACAGACATATAGACTGTTTTTTTCTCTATATATGGACCTATGATAAAGTTTGCTGTATAAATTAGACATAAGAGATTAACAACAATAACTAATAATAAAATAGAAGAATCATAATAGTATACTGTTAGAAAAGTTATGTAAATGTGGTCTCTCAAAATATCTTGGTGTACTGTACTCACCTATTTTTGGGCCTCTGTTTACCAAGGGCATTGAAACCATGGAACATGAAACCATGGATAAGAGAGAACTACTGTATTTCATAGTAAGCTGAAGAAACAGGAGTTTGATTTAACCACATATATTTCTTCACAAATAAGTTAGAGAAAATATAAAATATTTAAGTTTACTAAGATTACTTTTTAAAATGAAAATTAAAAGAGAAATTAAAGTTGATTAATGACTGTAGTTTCAAACATTTACACTCCTTACTTATTTCTAGCATTAAAATATTTTTAAAATTAGGCAAATAGACTTATTTTTAAAAAGTCATGGTTTTTAAAAAAGTTTTAACATATTCATTCTATAATAACTCTTATTTAATATAAAAATGTTTCCCAGGGTTTTTATAGTTTCGTGTTTTACAGTTAAGTCTTTACTCCATCTTGAATTAATTTTTGTATATGATATAAGGAAGGGGTACAGTTTCAATCTTCTGTATACTGCTGGCCAGTTCTCCCAGCATCATTTATTGGATAGGGAATCTTTTCCCTATTGCTTGCTTTTGTCAGCTTTGTTGAAGATCAGATGCCTGTAGGTGTGAGACCGTATTTCTGAGCTCTCTACTCCATTCTATTGGTCTATGTGTCTATTTTTGTACCAGTACCATGCTGTTTTGGTTACTGTAGCCCTGTAGTATAGTTTCAAGTCAGGTATTGTGATGCCCCTAGCTTTGTTCTTTTTGTTTAGGATTGCCTTGGCTATTTGGGTTCTTTTTGGGGTCCATATGAGTTTTAAAATAGTTTTTTCTAGTTCTGCAAAGAATGTCATAATAGTTTGATAGGAATCCCATTGAATCTGTAAATTTTGGGGAGCAGTATGGCCATTTTAATAATATTGATTCTTCCTATCCATGAGCACGGAATTTTCTTTCATTTGATAGGGTGGAGGGTGGGAGAAGGGAGAAGAGCAGAAAAAATAACTATTAGGTACTAGGCATAGTACCTGGCTGATGAAATAATCTCTACAACAAACCCCCAAACACGAATTTACCTATATAACAAATCTGCACATGTACCCCTGAACCTAAAATAAAAGTTTTAAAAAAATTATTACCTATAGAATACTTGGCCTTGAATCCCACATGTGTGGGGCTGTTGTCAGATCGAAATCTCAAATACATAACCTCTCCTGAGGACCACTGACTGCTGGGCAAAGATGTCCCACAAAATTTGGAAAGTATTGGTGCATCCGAATCCACTCCATCCCGCAACTCAAGGTAGTTGGAAGTACAGCTGAAGTGGGAACAAAATTCTGTTAAATTTACATGGTCAGATGCTTATTTTGATAATGACAACCTTACTTACTTTCTTTGAAGATATTATTAAATCATCATTTCTTAGCATAAAAAACTATGATAGAATCAGCATAAGCCATGTCACTTTAAAATGCTGTATGATATTTTTCCTAATAATACATTCTTTTATTAGTAGCTCAAAAGACAGGTTTTACATGTTCTACATTCAAGAATATTTACTTCCCTTCCATATTCTGTATTGGTTTTACAAACATAAATGTTGCTTTCAAATTAGTCCCTAGGAATTTCAAAAAACAACAAATATTTTGTTCCACACAATGACTTGATACATTTCACAGGACAAAGATAAATTCTCTAACAGCTCTGTAATTGGGACTAATGGAGCGTCCCAACTGGAATTTTCTGTGTCCATAAAAGTAGATAAGCATGTATCTAACGTTTCTTCAGGAAGTCACATTAGCCAATTAATGCTCCATGAGTGGAAAAGTAGTATTAGACCCAGTGCCAGAAATAGCAACAGAAGATCTTATATCCAAGTTTTGCACCACAGCTGCATTCATGCAAATGTATACATACTTTTGTTCAAGGAAAGAGAAAAATGTTTTCTACGATCAATATAGTTTTTCTTTCTCTTCAACATAGTAAGACTTACTGTTTTGTAATCCTTTCAGAACTCTTATTAAATAAAGACTGAGAAATTATACTGTGCATGCTTTAGTACTGTTCCGACAGTGCTGACCCCTGGTGACACACCACACAAATTCCCATTTGTTAAACAGACATTTTATCATTTGTGACACCGAATATGAGGCTGGTCAAATAAATATTCATCTATCAGAAACATGATATATTTCCTGTGGGAGGAAGAATGGATAACATCAATCTCAAGTAGCCACCCTCAGTGTCCCTTGCAGGAAGTGTCTAGGGTCACAAGGGACAGTATCCACGTACATAACCGGCTCAGCTGATGGGAGAGTGGCTGGCCGACTGTGTTTTCAGGCCTGAGCCATTAAGCATTTCCCTTTTCCCCTAGATTTCCTTGCAGTATGTGCTACTGAAAGAAATGGACTGTTTTGAGACATGACGGTTAAAAAATACTAACTTGGGGTAGGAAAAAAATGAAAATGGAAGTGACATACTTGGGTGTTACTTCAATATCGAATCGATCTTCAAATTGCAGCTGTATGCGTGTTTCCGGTGGAGCCGCTAAGATCCAAATGCAATCAGCGTGCGGGGGATAATTATGAGGGTGGTTGGGGGAGGTCACATACCCAGCAGAATCAGCATCATGGATGTAGACGTTGCCCCCACAGGCTGTGAGCAAACACACTTAAATCAGTCTATGATCTGGTGAAGGGGATGCAGTCAATGGCCACAAATCATCTTTTAAAGTCGACTTCTCTGTATTTTGTCTCCATTTCCTTTCATCTGTTATGATCCTCATTTTCTTTTCCAGCAAACAAATTCTCAATTTGCTATCGAGGGAGCTACGAGGTGTGACACTTTTTATTTTGCCAGACCATTTATCTATTCTCATTGGAAATTTCATTCTTTCTTAAAGCCAACCAAATGATTATGGCACATGGTGCACGGGGCAGAACATCACAGAAGCATGAATAAATATCCACCACTTCGATAAGCATGTAAGTATGCTAGCAGTTACAGCTTCCCACTGAGCATTCAGTACAGCAGAATGATGCAGAGCTATGATCTTGGTATATTTAAAAGACTAAGCAGATATATCTTTGCACAACTCGGGGAGCATTCATTCATTAGATTTCTTCAGGATTTAGATGCATTTGAGAACCAAGATCAATGGAATGAAATAATTTATTAGTAATGTTATGCCAGAGGATAAAGGAGCTTTTTAATATTTCTTTTCTAAAAAACCAAAGCATTATCAAAAAATATTTTTCTATTATCAATAAATATTCTTTGGCATTTTCAACAAACAAACCAGATAGGAGTAAAAGTACTTACAATGCCAATGAAATTAACCTGTCCAATCACTTAGCCATACACATACTTGATCTGCTCAACTCTAGAACATTTGTGTCCACTGTCACTCATCCACTTACAGTCACATCCTGAATTCTGTCATACTTCCAACTCCCCCATCTCTGAAACTCTAAATTGCAAATCCCTTTGATGAGCTCCAACTCCCTCGCTTCGTGTCTTTCCTTCAAACTTCCCTTGCAAAATACCAACTCCGTGGTTGTGTTCAATTCAAGCCATTCATTCATGGAAATTGATGCCCCTGCAAATATATGTTCTCCCATCTCAACACAGCCAAGCAATTCACCCATTACTTTTCATATAAACTACAATGGCTGTTTGGAACTTTACTCCCTAAGCCCTTGACTTTCCCCATTTCCTCTTGATTCTAAGCACATTACATTAGGCTCCACTTTACAAAGAAAGTAGAAGAAATCAGATGAGAATCTCTTCCATTTGTTACCCCTAATTTATTACTATCCTCAATAAATTAATCTGCATCTCTACACTCTATTTTTCCCTCTGTACATTAACTTCCTGTATCTCTGGATCAAGTTCCCATCCTACTGTCTCCTCCAGGATCTTGCCCTATTTAATCTCTCTCTCCCTATCTGTCTGTCTGTCTCTCTCCTTCTCTCTTTTTGCCCTTCCTTCTTCAACCCTATGAAAGCACTCATGTTCTCCCAAGTCACCTCACAGTTATATGCCCAAAGAACTTTTTAAATTCTTATTTTATATCCACAGCATTTAACACAGTTGATCACACTGTTCTTCTTTACATTTTTGTCCCTTGGCTTCTGACACCAAGCTCTTCTCCTCCTTTTACTCTTCATGTCATTCTTCCTCTGGCCCTTGGGCGCATCTCTCCAGGGCTTCCCTGACATTGCTGGAGGCCCTCAGGAATCCTCCTGTAGGCCTTTCATCTCACTCTGAATAATTCCCCAATTGCTGTCATACATCCTCATGACTTAAATGATAAGCAGTCTGTTGATTATTCCGTATTTACAGATTCAGTCTAGATCCCTGTTCTGACCTCGAGATTCCTGTTCCGACCACTTACTGGGCATCTCCAATGGAGGTAATTCAGAGATTTCAAACTGAACTTGTCTCAAATGAACATTCTCATTTGCTCGTCATCCAGAGCTCCATACCTGAGTCTGCTGATGACAGCATCAGCCCCTCTTCCTATGGACACTCTGCATCCACTCTTACTGCCTTATTTTTCTCCTTGATACCTTTCACCATATGGCATATTATATATTTTACTTATTTATTGTCTGCATCTTAACACTAGAATTAGGTTCCATGAGGACATGGATTTTGTTTGTTTACTGCCACATCCCCGGGGCCTGATACAGTGTCTGTCCCATGGAAAGTTCTTGATAAATGTCTGTGGGAAGAATGGATCCACCCAGCCAAAAACCTAACAACTGCTCCTAAGGCTCCTCCCATCCCTTCCCTCCTGCCTCACATCCAACTGACCGCCAAATTCACTCAATCCTGTATTTATAATATCTTTGATATGCCCTCTCTCCTACCTTCTTACTGCCATTGCCTTAGTTCAGGGAGTAAATTTTTTCCCTAAATTACTCTTTCATCTGGTCTCTCTCTCTTCAGCCTTCCCCATCTCCAATGTTTTCAGTGTTGCAGCTACATTAGTGTTTTTAATCTGATCACGCTGTTCAGGCTTTGGAGCAAAAACTTCCAATGCCTCCCATAACCTTTTGATTAACATCTTAACTAACTGAGGGTGGCATCCAGGGCCCTGAGCAGAGTGATTCCTGCCTGCTTCATCACTATTATGTTTATCTCTTTTTGACTCTGATCTCTAGCAGTAGTGAATTCTTTCAAATTATTGAATATGACTTGTAACATTGAGATTTTCTATGCATTCACATCTTTTTATCACTGATGGGCAAATCTCTTCATCCACTTCCCCTGGAACCCTCTCTGATGTCCTGGGCTGAAGTAGGTGTTTCTGTTCTGTGCATTCCTCTTTCTAGCACTTATTATACCATATACCATGTTCTTTTTTTTTTTTTTTCCTTTGAGACAGGGTCTCGCTTTGTCACTCAGGCTGGAGTGCAGTGGTATGATCGTGGCTCACTGCAGCCTCAACTTCCCGGGCTCAAGTGATCCTCCCAACTCAGCTTACTGAGCAGCTGAAACCACAGAAGTGCGCCACCATGTTCAGCTACTTTGAAAACTAAGGTCTTTCTATGTTGCCCAGGTTGGTCTCAAACTCCTAAGCTCAAGTGATCCTCCTGCCTTGGCTTCTCAAAGTGCTGGGATTACAGGCGTGAACCACCGTGCCCAGCCTTATATCATGTTCTAATTGTGCCTTTGCTTGTCTGTCTCCTTTACCACACTGTGAACTCCTTGGCAGAACTCGGTGGTTTGCATGATGTGAAACACCTTGTAAATGTTTGACTAATTAATTAACAGGCCTATTAATCAGGTGAGAATAAAAGGCATCTACCACAGGGTCCTAGAAATCTCAATCAACCATAGCGAAGGAGTGTCTCTGGAGAAAAATGGTATAAAACTAGGTGATTTGATGTCAAAAAATGTTCACAAAAGGACCTAGGTTAAAGGCTGAGAAGTGGGAGTGGCATGGAAATAGATATGGTGGGAAGATAGCCAGATAGACGTGGGAAGTAGAAGGCTGGCTATAGTTATGGAACAATCTTGAGTTGGTAAGTAGAGAGAAATAACAGTGATGCTGTTGTTTCAGGTTGCCAAGAACAGGTTGTGAAATCAAAAGACTTTTAAGTCTGATGTTAACAGCAGTCATAATAAGCTTCAAGAAAGACAGGGAGAAAGTAATGGCCATAACCATACTTGCATGAACAGTGAATCCACAAAGGAATAGAAGAGGTGCAATGTCAAACACACCCTTAGTGTATCTCTTAGTGTATCTGAATTACCACTAAATGTTGACTTTAAAAATATAAATCAAACTGAGTCTATTGGCTGAGGACGGTGGCTTACTCCAGTAATCCTAGCACTTTGGGAAGCCAAGGCAGGTGGCTCACCTGAGCTCAGGAATTCAAGACCAGCCTGGGCAACATGGTGAAATCCCATGTTTACCAAAAGTACAAAAATTAGCTGGGCATGATGGTGCATGCCTATAATCCCAGCTACTAGGGAGGCTGGGTCAGGAAATCACTTGAGCCTGGGAGGCAGAGGTTGCAGTAGGCTGAGATCATGCCGCTGTACTCTAGCCTGGGCGACAGAGAGACCCTGTCTCAAGAAAGAAAAAAAAGACTGAGTCTATTATAAACAAAAACAAAAGAGTAGAGTTATGTAGGATGGGTAGGATGGGCTGACGTCTACTCACTAGACTCAGGACACTGCTACTCTTGAAATGCTTTGGTACCAGGTGAAAACTGCCCATTCATGACTCAGCTGCAAAGCTCAGCATCAAGAGATGGAGGGATGAGAAGGTCCCAGCTTAGAAAGCAATGGCGCGGGTGCCCACAGAGCTGCATTAAAGCTCCCTCCTTGTGCCAGAGCTCTGGGAAGTGACCAAAGCTCCTTCCCTGGTGTTCTGGACCTTACTCAAGCTATTTGCTTATTTTTGTGTGTCAGTTGGTGAAGACTCTTATTCATCTCTTTTACCAAAATAAAGAAACCATGTTGACTTTAAATCTCATACAATGTGCAATAAAACATATGATTTCATTTACATATATATATATATGAATCTGGGATTCAAGTCATAGGATCATTTTGAAATCTATATTATCTAACTTCTGGTGGGACAAAGGAAAAATTTATTATTATATTACTTTCTACTGACATTACTCCCTTTTTTTGAAGTGATGCCTATTTATTTATTTATTTATTCAATTAAACATTACTAAAAAGCAAATGTCATCAAAATCAAATCATTACAGTAGAATTAAATGCAATTATAATCAAGTGTAATTAAGTACAAGCAATTACAGATATCATGTAATATATAATTAAATCAGTAATAATAGAATCAAAAAATTATGTGTTCTTTTGAAAACAGCATACAAATTATTACAAAATAAGGCAAATGTAAGTCTTATAATGTTTCTGTAACTAGAATTAACTTACAATTAGACATCTTATAATGGAAAGGTCTAAGGAATTCCAGGGATCAAGAAGAATAGTTTATTTTATACTCATGGAAAATTTCACTTTGGTCACTAATTAGGTATGTGGCCTTGGAAAAGTCCAAGCCTCATTTTATTTATCTTTAAAATGGAAATAATGATACTTTACTTGAAAAGTAGTCACGATGAGATATTGAATGTATCAAATATAATAAGTACTTGAGAGTAGGCATTCTTATTAATTCTATTACTGTTGGTTCAGAAAAGAAAATTTTATATCAAAGAAGATCAAGCAATTGCAGGAAAAGCAGATATAATTCTCAGTGAAAATACTTACCTAAACTCTTTGCCTCATATTTGATTTTAAATCCTTGCCCTTCATTACTGTGATCAGAAATAAACTGAACAAACATTTGATTATCCGAGGTGAACAGAGTTGATGAAGCATGACTGCCACAAAAATGACCATTTCCTCCAGGGGGTCCCAAGGGTGGAGAACAGATATCAGGACCATTTCTTAGCTGGAAAGACAAATTAAAATTTCATCAACTCCTTTACATTGCAAAAGAAGGAGTACGCAATTCTTATCCATTTATGTCCCAGGAGAGAAAAATTATCATTTTGTTTTCTGAATGAAGTCTATGGAAAATGTAATTAGAAAGGGTAGCAGCAAGACCTACCACCAAGTAATCCCCCTGGTTGCAAGAAGAATCTCCATTTGGAATCTGGAAAGGCTGTTCAAAATGGACAGCAATGGTCAGGCCACTTTGGACCAGGACGTGCCAAGAACAGTTGAGGTTGGATGGGTAAGTCTCTGGATACTTGGGGGACGTGATGATCCCTCTGTCTGCATGCAAATATCCACCGCAGCCTTCCCACAAAGAAACAAAGGTCGGTTATTTAAATAGCATTGGCAACTGGATTTTTATGCTTTCTTAGTTTTCTTGGGGGGTTTTCAAAGTGGAGGCAATAAAAATGCTTGAAAATAAAGCCAGAGTGCAGGAAATGATTATCATAACAAGCATGTATTGAGCACATGCTATTGGCTACTCAGTTTGTGGTGGTCATTGAGATCTGGGATACAGAGGTAAGTAAACAAGACAAATTACCTGCTTTCATAAAGATTTCTTTATAGATGGGGAAGACATACAATAAACAAATACATGATATGTGAGATGGTGATAAATTCTATAAAGAAAAATGGATGAGAGGAGGGAGAAGGGTACTTTATTGTTAGAGTTAAGTTAGAAAAGCCACGTCATTGGAGTAACATCTTAGCAGAGACATGAATGAAATGAAGGATCAAGCCAGATAGTTATGGGGGAGAAAACATTCCAGTTCAGAAAACAGTGTAAAGGCTTGATGTGTTAGAGGTACATCATGGAAGTCAGAATGGATGAGGCAGAATGAGAGATTCCAAAGGTAGCATGGCTAGGTCATGCAGGAAACTGAAAAGACTTATTCTGAATAAGAAGAGGAAGATGTTGAAGGGTTTTGGGCATCAGAATGGCATGATCTCACTTAAGTTTGAAAATGTCACTCTATGTGCAGTCCTTAGACTGTAAGGGGTGGAGGACAGGGAAGGACAGGAGCAGAGTGTCCAATAAGGAGGGGACCGCCTGAGGCCAAGGAGAGATGATAGGTGCACGGGCTAGGCTGGTAGCAACAGAAATGGAGAGGCGTGGTTGGAATCTAGATACATTGTGAGGGTAGAGCCAGTGTGATTTGTTGATGGTTAAGTGTGAGACAAACAGAAAAGTCAAAAATAACATCAAGATTTTGACTTAAATAATGAGAAAAATGTACTTTCCATTTGCTGAGATTATGAGGAGTGTAGAATTGGGGGGTGGTGGCATGGAAAAGGGTGGGAATAAAGTGTTCAACTTTCAAAGGTGAAATTTTTTTTTCTATCTATCTATCTATCTATCTATCTATCTATCTAGTCTAATTGGGATACAAGTGGTTTTTCGTTACATGGATGAATTGCATACTGGTGAAGTCTATATTTTAGTGCACTGGTTCCCTGACTAGTATACATTACACCTAATATGTAGTTTTTTATCCCTCATACCCCACCCATCCTCCCCACTTCTGAGTCTCCAAAGTCCATTATACCACTCACAGGTTAAATTTGAAATACATTCTAGACCGGGAGCTGCCAAGTATGTATATATACATAGACACACACACATATTTATATATATTATATACATATATAAACACACATATTAATTCCAATGGTTCCACCCTTACTATATACATACATGTGTATACATGTATGTATGTATAATGAGTTGCGATACATAGTAATATATACATGAGAGTGAGAGGGCAGGAGATAAAGGAAGAGGATAAAAGGAGGAGGCATTAATTCTCCAGTTGTCAGGGACCAGAAGCTCATCAGTAAGGGCAGACATCTCACACAGCTAGTTAAATTGTAGAGGTGAAAATGTATCTTAGGTCTAGTTCCAAAGCCCATGCTCTTAAGCCACTATGCAGCCTGCCTCCCTTGAGCGTGAGGAACACAACTTATCTTCAGTTGCTCCCTACTTTATAAAAGGTATATATAAGCATGGAGGAAATATTAGATTAATTTTTAATGTTAGATTGAGAATCTACTTTAAAATTATGTTTTTTGATCAAAACATGAGAGTCTTTCACTCTTCCTTGGACTACTTTATCACCTTTCAGTTAGTTTGGATTTAAGGCTGTTACTGGACTTCACATGTCAAGTTTGAAAAGTCTCAATCATACTGTGCATGATGGTATCCCATATATGGTGCCCGCTTTTGACTCATCAAATTCATATTTCAAGAGCAACAAACTCTTCCTGCCAACCCTCAGATGGCTGACTTCAACCAAGTAATTTATGAGAATAAATGATGACGTTTTGCTCCTTCGATGAGTTATGGATATGAGCTGTGCTCTATCTAGTTCCAGCCCTCAGCTAGGCTGAAAAATTGCTTTAAAGCTCTCTCTCATGCATTCCCTGGACACACCTCCTTTGGAGCGAAGATGCCACACCAGAGACCTGAAGGCAGCACACTTTTGTACGACTTGGCCCCAGTGCTTTGGATGAGGACTCAGCACTGATGTAAGGGGAGCCAGCCATCCAGAGCCTGGGCAGAGACCCATGTCCTCTGACTTGTCTTGTGTCCTGGTGCCCAAAAACATTATATTAGGAAGAGAGAAAGAGAGAGGAAAAGAGAGGAGATGAGATAACATGGGATTAAAAAATATTTGAACTCATTACTCTTGTGAAAGGATGCATTGAAGCCTGCCCTGGTTACACTGGAGTCCGAGGTGAAGCGGATGAACATGTACTCTCCAGTAGACCGGATGGGCCCAGGGATCTCTCTGCCACAGAGAACTGCTAGCTGCTGGGCCAAGTTATTATCTCCTACGTTGAAAGAAAGGGAACAACATGAAAATACATCTTGAGAATCTACTCTACAATCATTTGCAGCTTAGCCAAAGCAGCTCACACATTTTTCTCAGAACATCAGGACTCGTAGGAGATAATGGGATCCTCAAAAAGAAGGACCCCTCAGGGGTGATATCATTCTGGCTCCAGCTTGCAATGGTGCTTCCTGCCCTTTTCTTTACCCCCACCCCACCCCACCCCCCCCTTTTTTTTTTTTTTTGAGATGGAGTCTTCCTCTGTTGCGCAGGCTGGAGTGCAGTGGCACAGTCTCGGTTTAATGCAGCCTCTGCCTCTGGGGTTCAAGTGATTCTCCTGCCTCAGCCTCCTGAGTAGCTGGTTTTATAGGGGTGAACCACCACTTCTGACTAATTATTGTATTTTTAGTAGAGGCAGGGGTTTTACCATGTTGGCCAGGCTGGTCTTGAACTCCTCATCTCAAGTGATCCGCCCTCCTCAGCCTCCCAAAGTGCTGGGTTCTTTACCCTTTTTGATAAAGACGTCTTTGACAGTTTCCACCGTCTTTCTAAAAACTGGCTGCCAGTTCTCCCTGTCACTAAAACTCAAAATCAGAGTACCTGGGATTGGGAAGCGATGGAGACCCAGTGATGATATGTCTGTCGATTAGAGACTCTGACCTCAGTTACTCTGATTGCTGAAGGTCAAGTAGGTAAAAGAAAAAAAAAAAACAGTTGGCTCTTTGACCTCAGATCCTACACTAATGTTACAATATCATTCACCAAAAGGTATGCAATTGTATGTGCCCTTTCTTCAGTGCCAGTGGGGTTTTTTTAAACAAAACTTTTCATCTGTGTTTGTTCATTGCTTTTGTTTGTTTTGGTATAAAAACAACCACACATTTGTGTGGAGGGTGAGAGAAGAGTTCCAGCAACTGTGCCCCACCCCCACAGAGACACAAAGGACAGCAGGGGCACCACACGTCTCCTTTCATCTTGATTATCTTGGATATAAGCTTTGATCAAAGCCCCTGTGCCGGCTGAAACCAAAATGGAGCAAAGGGGATTATAGCAGACTTGGATGCCGTGGCTGGGAAAATATGTTGTTTTTTTCTCTTTTGTCCTAAGGCAGAGAATTAATAAATCTCGAGTTTATAAAAAACAAAAATAGAATATGAGACATGAGTAAATATGCCCTTTTATACAACCAGCCACATGGATTCTTTGTGGCACTGACTACAACTTGAAACTCATTCATTATTAACCACTTTAGAAAATAAGTTATTTTCTATTCTTGTGATTACAAATGTAATGGCAGAGTTATAAATACAAAATGCTCAAAATGGCATTCTTTGGAGGGTTTCTGATCGCTGGAAACTTTTGCATTCTTTATAATTCAAAAGTGTATCTCTTATAGTTCTTTTGCATTTATAGTAAGTGCACTTCATTATGCTATTTTGCTACACATTTCACCCAATATTATTTTTTGTTGACTTATTCTCTGATTACCTGTACTACAAAATTTTGAAGTTTATTATATGTTATTAGTTCACGTGTATATTTTATCACTGGATGAAAGTGAGTTGAGTCTATTGATTTTGATTTCTTTTCTAAAATTCACTCCAGATCATCTGGTGAAACAATGCTTATCTCAAAATAAGTGCTTGTTGATTAGCCTACTCATTAGTGGGAAGATGACCCAAAAATCACAGATGGTTTGTTACTTGCCCATCCACCCCTTCAGTCTTCATACTGAGTACTGGGGTATTTCTGGAGCCTTCCAAAACCTCAACATATAGATTGCAGAAAGATTGAGCCTAATCTTGAGCCTAATCTTTAAAGAGGAGGGGAAGTCAAAGAACAGTAAAGGCTAGCACTAGAAGGCAACTTGGCAATTCTTTCTCTAGTCCAACCTCTTCAATTTACAGATATAGACACTGAGGCCCCAAGATTATTCAAGACTGACATTTATTGAGCAATTAGTATATACCCCTTTAAGTGCTTCACATGTACTATCTGATTTTATGTTCACAGTGACACTATTAGGTGGGCATTTATTTTTATCCCCATTTTGTATATGAGGAACTGAATCTTACAGGAGTTACAAGCCACTTTGCTGTATGCAAGGGCATAGAGATAGAAGTTAACAGTGATGTTAACCTTTGCAGATTAACCTCAGATGCCCCAAAACCATGCTATTAAATGATTTATCTAAGGTCATGAAGAAAGTACACTTAAGATCTGGAACTAGATTAAAGGATTACTGATTTTTTTATACAATTTCTTTTCTATTTAAAAGTTTTGCTAGGACCAATGTAGTTTCATGGACTCTCAGTTTGGAGGGATCTTTGGTATACAGAATGGGTAGATGCGTGGTCTGGAAGAAACTGATTCATTTTGAACCATGGCAACTCTATAAAATGAATAAGCAGGTGGGACAGTGACTCAGTTCTCCCAAGAATGCTGCATGACCCTCTCTGGGGTAGCCCAGGAAGGTTCACAGCCTCCATACGGCCAAAGGCCTGTGATGACAGGCCAATTGCATGAGCAGGAATAGCCTATAAGTATCTTTGTCTGTGGCCAGTTGGCTTTAGATATTTGCTTCAGAATGTTACATGCTTCTGCTACTCAGAAGCAAAAGGCTGGCTGGGCAAAGAACAAATAATTGAAGTGGGATTTAAAATTTAGTCATAGGCCAGGTGTGGTGGCTCACACCTGTAATCACAGCACTTTGGGAGGCCAAGGTGGGCAGATCACGAGGTCAGGAGATCAAGACCATCCTGGTTAACACAGTGAAACCCCACCTCTACTAAAAATACAAAAAAAAAAAAAATTAGCTGAGTGCGGTGGCGGGTGCCTATAGTCCCAGCTATTAGGGAGGCTGAGGCAGGAGAATGGCATGAACCCGGGAGGCAGAGTTTGCAGTGAGCCAAGATAGCGCCACTGCAGTCCGGCCTGGACAAAAGAGTGAGACTCCGTCTCAAAAAAAAAAAAACATCAAATTTAGTCATAAAAATATATTAACAATGTGTAAATGACTACAATACTCACCAACTGACACAGACCAGGCACTCAATAACTATTTCTTGAATAAATAATTAAACAAATGAGGAAGGAAGGAACCTTATTGAGCATCTACTCACATTGCCAGTGCATAAAAAGGAATCCATACGGAAAGGCCGCATAACCACTTTAAAACATTTGTGTTGTTTTGGCACGCACCTGAGTTTCTTTAGCTCTTTCAAGCCGCCCTGTGCCTGAGCAAGGGCACTGATTAAACCTCTCTTAGAAATTTCCATCTAAGTAAACTGAAATCTAAACTATTCCAAATTCATCATCTACAAAATGCTTGTACTTTTGCTAAAAAGATTTCATTTATTACTTTCCTTAATCCTCAGAAAAAGCCTGTGAGGGAGGTATTTGTCTATCTCACAGGTAGAACGGGTTTGGAGCCACTTTGTGACCTGTGCAAAGCCACACAGGAAAAAAGGACTGCTCCCCAGACTCTCTGCTTCCAAGAGAAGTTAGTGATGGAACAAAAACAACTCAATGGAATGTGATTTTAAAAGAATAACCATAATTTACTTCATAGATGCAGTTACCTACTTAAGATTTTTTTCAAAGATATTTTTTAAAACTTCTAGTAGGTTCTGAACACTAGAATATGTGTGCAAGGATGCACATCCTTTCCATTACATGAAAAGTTTTAAATTTCAGTATGCACAGGAAGGCTTAGATGTGAAGAGGGCATTCTGGTGCTTTGATACTCCTCTGTGCAACGTGCTGATAGCCGATTGCTGATGGGAAAAAGGGGGAGTGTCATGCTTTGACATCTCATCATGTGTGTATGATTGATTTGAGTCTCTACTTAGTGTTCTGCCTCTACAGAAGGGACATAAAGCACCTTCACCATTCGATTTTTCTCACTCGGCAGGGGTCTAGGGATCAGGGATAAGGGAGACAAGATCTTGCACACTAGCAACCTGTGGGCCAAAGACAAACACGTTTCTTTTTGCTGAGAACATGTACATCTAACAAATGATGCTGTGGATCTGGGGGCCACACTGAGAAATACTGACGTGGAGGATGTGGCCTTTCTGCTGTCCTCCTTCATTCCAGTCCATGCAGACTGTGAAGCCCAATTTTGTATAAGGCATACATCAGCAATATTTATGTCTCTAACTTTATGTCACATAGCAACACCATGCCTGTGTACAAAGGAAAGAATACAACAATATCACCCCTTAACTCTACCTATTCTACCCACATTCAGGGGACAAAGAGAAATGAATACATTACTATTTTATATTCTTCTTATTATTATTTTAGAGACAGGGTCTCATTCTGCTGCCCAGGCTGGTCTGGAACTCTTGGACTCAAGTGATCCTTCTCCTCGACCTCCCAAAGTGCTGGGATTATGGTGTGAACCACTATGTCCAGTCACATTACAATTATAAGTATTTTTTTCAGCCAGAAACATAAAATATCAATATTTATCTCAGAGGTATCTCAATAGGACAGGTGAACAATGTTGACATTCAGACTATTCTTTCCTTCTTAAGCCTCTAAAAAAGCCTTTTTTCCTTATAGAAATGTGCTATTCCTGATATTCTGTGACCGGTAATTTAATACTTTCTATGTCCTTCAGAAGTTGTAGCCATTTCTGGTACTGATGCCTTCCTTGACCATAATATCTGTGTAATTCCAAACCAAACGGATGGAGGCAGTATGCAAGTCTGATGATAATGGACTAGAACTAATTATGTGTCAGGGTTGAAACTCAGCATTCTTTATAATGTTCTCACCATCTCGTATCACAAGGCTATCATAGGCACACGTTCGGTGAGATTCAATGTCCAGGGAAAGAATGTTGAGTTCCACGGTAGAGTCGGGAGCCTGGATGAGCCACGTACAGTCCACTCTATTACTGTAACTGTCAGGCCAGCCCGGGGAGAAGAGAAACACGGGTGCATCTCCCGTCCTCAGGAAGCCACCACAAGCACCTGTAGAATAGAAAGCAACATCTTTGACACAGCCCTAATGGAAAAGACGCTAGCTAGCACTTTTTCACTTGAAAGTGACAGCCCTCTACTGAAAAGAAGCAACCAATTGAAACAATTTCTCAGAGAAATCAATGAATATCGTATGTAACCCACTGATTCGGAAAGCTGCAATTTCCGCAATTGATCTTTGATGTAAAAAAAATGCATTGTGTTCTCCATTTTCACCATAATTTTGCTATATAACCCATTTAATATCAAGTGCTGACTATTTAGGCATCAATAAAGACACGTAGAGGATCCCCTGTATTACTGAGGTAGAACTGTATTCATTCCTGTGTTTCTCATGTTTCTTTATCATTTTTGCGTAGTTACTTTTGTAATTTATATCTAGGCAATTTTGAGTTGACAGATTAGGTCCTTCTCGGGGTCTATTTTTGGGCATGTGCACAGCTGGGCTATGTGTGTGGCCTTCTAGATTTCCAGAAACATGTCGGAGCTTTTCAAAGCCCCAGTGGGCATCTCCTTCCCCATTTTTTCCTTTCAAGTTTACTGGTCAGTTTCTCATTAGCTGTAACTGGTGTCACTGCCTTGCACGGTTGTGATGTGAAACAGCTGTTGCTGATTGTTTTCGGCAAAGACCCCAGGGACAGGGCTGTTTACAAAAGAGTGAGCTCTTGCCCAGGTCCTGTGAAGACAAGACCTGAGAATGCAGTTTTCCAGGAAGTTGCTGAACTGGAATAATGGCAATGCTGAGGAGATGCGCTGTTTTCTGGACCTCTGCGGCCCCACCACCCACAGCTGTTAAAGCTGCTCATTTTCACAGCTACTGTGGTCATGAGGCTACTACAAAGCTAGGAGGAGAGAGAGAGATGGGAATAGGAAGAGAATGCCACAAAAATGACTCTTACTTAGATTCAGTGATTTTTCTTGAATAAATATGCCGCAGATTGCTATAAGGCTTTGGTCTATTTCCAGAGTTCTCAAAAAGTTGATTTTAACAATTATTTTTGCCATCACTTTTATGTAGCAATATATTTCAGAGATCCAATCTTCACCATTTCAGAAGTTTACAACTTGTACACCATAATATGTTTGAATCTTATCAGGGCCAACAGGAAGTGAATATAAAATGTTGTAGAACTAGGTCCTGATTTCTTTACCCTATTACTATGTAGGCTACAGATTTTTTTAAAGCAATTTCACATGGAAAATCTGAATGCTGAATGTTATCCAGTATCTTCAAATTTTAAGGTTTTCCTCTATGTGAAATATTTCTTATCTTGAATTTGTAAAATATGGTTATAATGACTGTGGGTCATTAGTGCTGTTTGCCAAATATTTCCTTTGTCTCCACTTCCAAACACATGGTAGAACTGCATTCTGCAAGTGGCTGAGAGAGGCCATTTGACCAGTTTTGGCCAATGAACTATGAGCAAAAGGCATGTGTTACTTTACAGTGAGCACTTTTAAACCGAGACATCCAAGGGCTCTTTTGCCTACTGCCATGGTCTCAGGCAATATCGCAGACAATGGCAGCTCCAACAGCCTGAGTTAGGAAGTGATGGATGATGAGAGGCACCCAGTTAACACGAGAGGAACATGTAGAAGGAGACCTGTTGTTTTCAGCACCTAAGAGTTTGAAATTGTTTGTTACCGCCATATGGCTGAGCTTTTCCTGACTGACACACTGACTGCTTTTCCTACTTGACACATTGAATTTCCTTCAGTTGACCCTAGTCCACAGTAAGCTCATTTTTCTTCCCTTGCTTATTTGCTACTGTTACCATTTGCTTTGTCATGTACCCATTTAATTACGATACCATTACTTAACTCACATATGAGTGTTTTTTCTTTCCCAATCTCTTTTATTTATTATTTATTTTTACTATTTATGTATTTATTTTTAGGACAGGGTCTCACTGGAGTGCAGTGTCATGATCACTGCTCACTGGCAGCATGTAGGCTCAAGTGATTCCCCTGCCTCTGCCTCCTGAGTAGCTGGGACTACAGGCATGCACCACCATGCCTACCTAATTTTTTTAATCTTTTGTAGAGATGGGGTCTCCCTCTGTTGCCCAGGCTGGTCTCAAACTCCTGGGCTTCAAGCAACCCTCCTGCCTCAGCCTCCCAAAGTGCTGGGATTATAGGCATGAGCCACTGTGCCTGGTTCCCATTACTTTTAAGCTCCTGGAGAGTAGAGATTGTACCTCATTTTCCTTTCTTAGTCTTCTCAGTGTATCCATAATAAATTCTCAATAAATATGCGTTGATTTAAAATAAATATATGTGTGTATAAGAAATGCTGATAGGACAGGACGGATGCAGTGGCTCACGCCTGTAATTCTAGCACTTTGGGAGGCCGAGGTGGGCAGATCATGAGGTCAGGAGATCGAGACCATCCTGCCTAACACGGTGAAACCCCATCTGTACTAAAAATACAAAAAAATCAGCCAGGTGTGGTGGTGGGCACCTGTAGTCCTAGCTACTTGGGAGGCTGAGGCAGGAGAATGGTATGAACTCGGGAGGCGGAGCTTGCAGAGAGCCGAGATTGTGCCACTGCACTCCAGCCTGGGCGACAGAGCGAGACTCCATCTCAAAAAAAAAAAAAAAAAGAAAAAAAAAAAGAAAGAAATACTGATAGGACAATGCTCAATAAGTTGACATATTTCAAAATATTAAGGTTTTTTAAGTTTTAATGACACTTTCACAGTGTGGTATCATTACAGGATAATCACTTATGCCATCTAGATAATTAGTAAACTCTAAAATTCTCTTGACCCCTTACTTTCCTTTTTTCTTTTTCTTCTTGACTAAGAAAAATAAGGTTTATGGCTCTCTTCTTCACCTGTCCACTTACATCATATAATTATGAAATTTCGTAATAAAATATTAGAAGAAAATTTGTTGGTATAATATTTTACACAAGTAAATAATTCCTTTTCTACCTTGAGGGTTGTAAATATAAAAGAAAGCTTAACTCAAGTTTATTTCTAAGAGCTCTGGATATATCCATCCAGATTTAAATGTTGCCTCTAAATTGCATTTGTCAGTCTTGCTGATGGTTCTTTGCTCTTAGATAGACAGATCAATATTTTAAGTAAGAGATTTGTATTCAGTGTCATGAAAGCACCTTATTAGAGAGGTAGGAACAACATTTCAGAATGGAATACTAAGGGACATTAAATAAATATAAGTACAAATTATCTTCATTAGTGACTTCTGCTGATATAAGAAGTTAGAAGCAAATAGGCTAATCTTTTAAGTCATAGAACAAGTTCAGAGTTCGAATATTCTTCAATGAGATACCGTGATTCTGTGTTCCAATCAAGCATTCAAGGACTTAGAATATCCTCCAAGAAATATCTGATTAATTTCTTCTATGTCAATCCTGAAATCCATAAGAAACGCTCAAATTCATTTAAATAAATTGCTTTTCTTTTCTTTTCGAAACGGAGTCTCACTCTGTCGCCCAGGCTGGAGCGCAGTGGCATGTTCTCGGCTCACTACAAACTCTACTCTGCCTCCTGGTTCAGGCAATTCTCATGTCTCAGCCTCCCGAGTAGCTGAGGCTACAGACGCGCTCCACCACGCCCAGCTAATTTTTGTATTTTTAGTAGAGATGGGGTTTTGCCATGTTGGCCAGGCTAGTCTCGAACTCCCGACCACAAGTGATCCGTCTACCTCTGCCTCCAAAAATGCTGGGATTACAGGCATCAGCCACCGCACCCGGTCTCATTTAAAAATTTTTCAAGAAAAAAGTCTCCCCAAACAATGCTAGCTCAATATCACTTTCACTGAGGGGATTAGGAATGTAAAAAAGTAAAATAAAAGTTTAAAATTCGGCCCATTTTACTTTGAAACATGGAAATTTACAACCAGCTAAGGAGAAACTGAAGCATTTCTGAAGCTACATTTGAAATAAAATGCAGAGGAAAAATAGTTACTTTTATGAGTTGATCCTTAACTAACTGATTGTGTGTGTGTGTGAATGTACATGTGTAGTATCTGCAAATCAAATTTTCAGGGATTTCTAAAGTGGTCTCTAGAAATTGTAAGTAGACGATCTTATGGATATCAAGCCCCTAATTAATATAAAAAATATAATGGGACCTGCATTTTTTAGAAAGAAACGTACAATTTCTACAAAAGGTAGTGTTTATGAATTTAAAACAACATCTGAACATATGGTGGAAGGGCTTTGGGGCTGTACTTATTTTTATATCTGACCCCTGTTATGATAGGATCCTTTGAAACATTGGCCTGCACATATCAGTCCTAAAAAGAACTTCATTTATTACCAAACACACCTGGAGCAATGGTAGGTAAAACACCATCAGGTGCATCCACTGCAAACCACTCCAGAAGGAATCCCTTCCCTGAGATTGAAGAGTCGGAGTAAAAATGAAATGTCAAAGAATTTCCAGTGGAGCTGAAAGATTCAGTCTGGGTACCACAGTAAGCTCCAATTAGGCGGGCGTGAATGCTAGGCCCATCATAGATCTGTACATAAAAACAGATAATAGAGCATTGTATTATCTATATTTTTCTTCATAAAAAGATAAAATAAAAAAGATGCCTTATATTATTACAATGTTATCATAACAAAAAAATGACAAATGAGTAAACATTTAATTTTAGCTTAAAACACATACTGCCAGAGAATATAAAATATTATTGAAGGTAATTTAATGTTTTGAAAACATTTGCATCTTTGTTGCAGAATTATATTAATAAACATGCACTGTGGGAATCACTCATAAGATGATTTACAGTAAAATTTGTGGATGGAAAAATAGGAACCAGGATGGTTGCCTACCAACAGTACTTAATAAATGTGCTTTGGGGCTTCAAAGGGAGGAATTAGGAAGAAAGAAGGGAAAATAACAAGAAGAGAAAAGCTTTAATGAGAGAAAGTGGACAGGTATCCTAAAGGAGTCCATATTTCCACAGAAGGAAAGAAGAATTAATGACAACAAAATAGCCAAAACTTGTAGGGCTCACCATGTTCAAAGCACTTAGTAAATCTCCTACCTTTGGTTTTAAAATCTCAAATTACCTATTTTGAGGCATATTCTGTGATAATTTTTAAATAGCTCAGGACAAATTCATATGAACAGTTATTATAAAATACTCTACCAAACAAATTATGTAATAGTCATTCCCATACATATTGGGCACCCATCAGGCACTGGGATCTATTCATGACCAAGAATCCAAGATGAATAAGGTGGGGTCATAGCCTGTAAGCATCCGATTGTGTTTCTGGAACTGATATGGTAGCCAATGTCTGGATAGCAATGATCACCATGATTTTTATATTTATATTTATTTTTATATGATCATTAAAATTTTTAATACTCTAACATAAAAACAAAGAGGATAGTAGGAAATAAGACAGAATAAATACTTATTTAGGACATACATGCATGCTTAGACAAAGCTCAACAGGAAAATTATAATAATCCTAAAAAACCCCTTAGATATGAAATGGAAAATAATAAATACAATACTGAAATTGCCTTTGTCCATGTAATCTAGAGGCAGTCTGCTCTAAACATGATTTAGAGCAGACTATCCCACATGATTTGCAAATGCTTGAATAGACGTTACCTTGGATTTATTTTTACCAATAGCAATTCACCAATATTTATGAACATTGATTGCATGTGGAAACTCACCCTTAATTTGTCATAATAGCAGTTTTGTATTTCTTCTATGTCCATCTCCAAGATTCTACCATGGACAACGTGAGATGCATTCACATTTACTGTCCATTGGTAATTGGAGTTATGTGGGTAGTTTTCAGGCCAGAAAGGAGAGGCGACTTTCCCATGAGTTCCCACAATATTATCATTGCCAAATACTAGGAGGGAAGACAGAGTAGTAAATCAGACCCACTTAGAATTGCTCTTTAATCAAATGAAAAAAACAAAAGGCAAAGGGTGTTGAAAAGGATGGACTTTTAATTGACTGTGATTTCTTTTCTGACTAGGGAAAGAAATACTGCCTCCTTTTTGGTTTCTGGGCTATCACTTCCTTAGAAAAGGTCCTTAAAACGTTGCATGGTGTGAAAAGAGGCCACAACTTCCCATGTGAAAAGGGGTTCTGAGCCCCTAGGGGACTTGGGGACATGGGAAGGTGGGGTGAGCAGCCCCACTCTCTAATTTTGGTTTATCTATTTTACTTTGTTTTTCAAAAGAATGGAACATTTAAAGAAATTTACAAGAAAAACTGATAGTTTGAAATTACATATGAAATAGCCAATAATGGAAAAGTTGAGCTAGAGAATAAAAATATTTAACATTTTATACTATTAGAAGAATCCCCTATTGTTGTTATATGTGAGCACTTAAGCCAATCCCAAAGTAATACTAAATGTCTTAAATGTGAAGAACGTAGAGTTTATGAAATCAAATGAAACACACTTGATATAAATACACCAAACCCAAACTATAATATATTACCAGACTCTAACACAACGTCATGAAAAAAACTAATTTAACATTAGGTAGAAATTAGAGCTTAAAAAGAACAATAGAACCATTGAGAGTGCTCTCCCTTGCCCTTATTGAGCCATTCATATGCAATTCAGTTTTTCTAATATGTTATAAGGTAATTCACAAAGACAATGTAGGAAAATAGTGTAGAGTTTAGGATTGTTCTTGCTTAATATATTACTGAGAAAATTATTATTTCTAGTTTGTAAGACATATTCTGGAAGCTATCACTAAAATAGAAACAACTTACTCTTCATAAATGTGGCCTGGAAGCCCGTGCCGCTGCCAGAACCATCTGAGATAAATCTGACCCACAGGGTATGTCCAACGATGGAAGAATAATTGAGAGGGAAGGAGTTTCCACAGTATCGTCCCACCAAGTGACCCGTGGCATTTCCTTCACGGATCTCCACAAAATCTCTGCTGCAGTCCTGAGAGTCTTCCAACTGGAAAGATCTGATTTGGGGAAAAAAATATTTAAAGGGATTAAATTGAGAGAATAGACTTTGGGATTCTCCCGGATCACATGCTAGGTTAACCCGTTCACTTTTTTAAACTTTCTTTAACTTTGATCACAACATTATTTGGCTGTCTCAAAAAATTTCTTTCACTCGGACTTGTTGAAATGTGTATCCAATAGCTACAAAGACGACGAATACACTTCCATCAAGGAGTTTTCTTCCTAGTGGGCAAAACTGGACGAGAATACAGAAAAAAAATATATAAGGCAGAATAGTGTGAGTGCCATCAGAGTTATAAAGTGGCGTTTAAGAATTGCAAAGCAGAGGCATCATATTTGATTGTGGTGCTCTGCAATAGCTTGATGGGAAGACTTTTTGAGATGGAAATATACATGTGAGCTGGATGTAAGCACTATAGATGGTGGGCAAAGAAGCATGCCACCAAGGCACATGTGCAGAGAAGGGCGGGACATATTCAGAAAACCACGAGATACCTGGTTTGTTTAAAACACTGAGTACCTCTAAGACATGGTGTGGGTTGGCTGAAGGTAAATAATAAAAAAAAAGAAACCATTAAAACATGTAACTGGGGCAATATGATGGGATCATTTAGGTGGCACTTAAATGCGCTGCAAAGGTGTATGTACTTAATTTCTGGAGAGGCAGCAAAATTATGGGATTTGTAACAACACCCGCTGGTGCTTGAATGTGACCTATTCAACTTGTCTTATATTCTGCAACTACGATGTGTTGGGGAGTCGAGGATAGGAAATAGTATCTACCTCATATGATGTTCATAGGTAACATATCTAAAGAGTCTGGAACATGTAGGTGCTAGTTGAGTACTTTCAAAACTTGGCCTTACTGCTTAAAAACATGAGCTACTCAAGATAAAGTGGTATTGGTGTAAGGGTAGACAAATGGATGAATGGAATAGGAAAGAATTTCCAGAAGGGGACCCACAAATACACTGTCAATCCAATTCAATCCATGGTGCCAAGACAAATCAAGGGGAAAACTCATTTTAACAAATGGTGATGCAATAACGGATATCCTTATGGAGAGAGAGGAAAAAAAGAACCTCTACCTCTGCCTATCTTCGTACACAGAAACTAACTTAATATTTCTCAAGGATGTAAATATAAAGGCTAGAAACATAAAGATCCTAGAAGAAAACACGGAGAAAAATCTTTGTGACCTTGGGATGGGCAAATATTTCTTACATAGAATGCAAAAAGCACTAACCACAAGATAAAAAATTAATAAATTTGAATTCATAAATAAACATTTCATTAAAGACATGAATAAGAAAATGAATAGGCTGCGTGTGGTAGCTCACAACCATAATCTCAGCACTTTGGGAGGCTGAGGTGGGAGGATCACTTGAACCCAGGAGTTTGAGACCAGCCTGAGCAACACAGTGAAACCCCCTCTCTACAAAAAATAAAATGTAGCTATGTGTGGTGGCCTGTGCCTATAATCCCAGCTACTTGGGAGGCTGAGGCAGGAAGATGGCTTAAGCCTGGGAGATAGAGGCTGAAGTGAGGGGTGATCGTGCCACTCACTCCAGCCTATGCAACAGAGTGAGACTCTGTCCAGAAAATATATATATATTTAAAAAAATGAAAAGGCAAGTTACAGACCGGGGTGGGGAAATGGGAGATAATCGTAAAGCATTTATCTAGCAAGGGACTCAAAGTTGAAATATAAAAGGAATTCCTACAGATAATGAAAAAACAACCAAATTAAAAGTGGACAAAGGGCTTGAACAGATATTCATAAAAGAAGACAAGAAAATGGCTACCAAGAATGTGAAAAGTACTCTGCATGATTAGTCATCAGAGCAATGCAACTTAAATACCACAGTCAGATATCATTCCACACCCATCATAAGGGCTAAAATTAAAAGGCTGACAAGATCAATTGTTGACAAGCGTGCAAAGCAACTGAAGTCTTATATATTCCTCGTGGGACTGCATACTGACATAGCCACTTTGAATAATTATTTGGGAGTTTCTCATAAAATTAAATGTACATCCAATTAATGCCCAGAAATTCCACCCCTAAATATATACCCAAAGAAAATAAAAACACATGACCAAGGTAGTATCCTGAATATAAAATAACTCCTGCAACTCGAAAATTAAAAACAAATAACCCAATTAAAATGGAAAACAAACCGAATACACATTTCTCCAAAGAAGATTTATGAATGGCCAATAAAAACATGAAAAGATTTTCAAACATTATTAGTCATTAGAGAAATGCAAATCAAAACCACAAAGAGATAACACTACAAACCACCAGGAAGACTATTATTTAAAAATAGAAAATAAGAAGTGCTGATGAGGATATGGAGAAATTAGAACTCTTACGCATTACTAACGGGAATGTAAAATAGTCCATCCCTATAAAAAAGTTTGGTGGTTCCTCAAAAAGTTAAACATAGTATTATCATATGAACCAGCAATTTCACTTCTAGGTTTATACCCCAATGAAATGAAAGCATGAACAAACAGGAAAGGGGAAAGGGTAAAGGAAAAAGGGAAGGGAAGGGAAGGGAAAAGGAAGGGAAGGGAAGGGAAAAGGAAGGGAAGGGGGAAGGGGAAGGGGAAGGGAAAGGAAGGGAAGGGAAGGGAGGGGAACGGAAGGCAAGGGGAAGGGGAAGGGGAAAGGAAAGGAAAAATGTACTTCTCTGTCATGTGTATCTTTCTGTTAATGCTCAACATTATCCATGGCAAGATTTTACTTTATGCTAAGTATAGTGCTCCCCTGGGGCTCTATCTCAGCTAATGGAGGAGAATAGTTAGAGATAACCAGCCTGGAGGCTCTGACCACCTCAAGCCCTACCACTAATCAATATACCAGGCACATCTCTGGTCACTCCCTGCCTACCAGACCACAGGGGTGAAGTAACTGGTCAGCTCTGCTCTAACCTAGCTCTCAAGCCAGATACTAGCATTGGTAGGTCTCTAACCAAATCAGTAAGCCTGGTGGTAAGCTGGTGGCTCTCAGAATCCCACCAAGGTGGGTCACTACAGTATAGACCATCTGGACTAGACTAGATGGAATTTTCACAGCAAGCTATAACTGATAATTGAAATCAGGATATATCCACATCAGACAAAACAAACCACATATTTGTCTCCTTTGACAATCTGATGATTTATAACACAATATTTCTATCTTCAATCTTTTTTTTATTTTGCAAGGAATTGGTCTAAATCCATCTTTGGGATGGCTGCCAACTTTTGTGTATACATTCAGGCTCAATTTTATTACTCATAATATGATCAACAATGTGAAATACGCAAAATTGTTTTCTTCTGCTTCTCAGAAAGCAGAAAGGGAAGAAAGGGAGATCATTTTCCTCAGAACGTAAATTACACGAAGTTGCCTCTAAAATCTTTCTATGCAAAGTGCATAATCCAGCAACATCGGCATCACCGGAGAGCTTGTTTGAAACAAGGAATCTGGCCCCACCAACCAACTCAGTGAGAAAGTGAATTTCAGCAAGATCCTAGATGATCAACATGCACATTAGCATTCTGTCCGATGCTCCAGAAGATTACAAAGTGAAGGTCTTTTCTAAGTACTTGACTACTGCAATCCAGTGCTAGATGGCAGAAAAGACATTCCGTTGGACATGGTGGTAGGCAAATACCTAGAAGGATTAAATTAAACTATAAAAAAAGCTTTATTATGCTTGGAAGTCTTTGCTTTAGGCTGGTACATTTTATAAGCAACTACACCCTTTGGCTTAGATCTGTTAGTAAATGTAGGATGTGGAACAAAAATAGTACAATCACTGTTTCTTATTATCTCATTCTGATTCTTGAACTGAGACCTATCACTTTCTAAAAGCACTCTGCAAGTATAAAATACAATTTCTGTCAATTCCCTGCCCACCAAACCGCAGGGGTGAAGTAACTGGTCAGAAAGATTGCACTGCACTTTGAATAGAAAGATTTTAGAGACAACTGCATGTAATTTACCTTCTGAGGAAAATGATCTCCCTTTCTTCCCTTTCTGCTTTCTGAGAAGCAGAAGAAAACAATTTACCATATTCACATTTTTGGTCATATTATGGGTAATAAATGGTTAAATATATGTCTTACAAAAAACTCCTTTTTAGGTTTTATTTCTCCCCGTTCCTTTTTGTTGCAGATTCAACCATAATTTCTCCAGTCTTCTTCCCTACTCAGTTTCACCACAATCCCAGCCCCATGTTTTAGAACTTGATGTGATACACATGCTTCTCATACGCTCTCACACACCCCAGGGTAATGTTTCCAAGCATCCATCTGGATAGAATTTAGACCAGGGCAGAAATAACTCACAGGCCTTGCCTTCTCATTAATCAACTGCAAAAAAAGAGGCATCTTGCAGCCTAAAACGTCCATTTTAAAAATAAAACTCAAGCAAGTAACTCAGAGGAATCAAAATTAACTTCTTACAGGCGAGAAAGGAAATAGCTGAGTCATTACGATGTTCTATATGGTAATTAAAATGTAATGTCTATTAAGCACTGAAATAGATGAAACTTGCTTTCTGTGTGTGTAATCTCCCATCCTCTGGAAGGAGAGCCTAGTGCTGCCCGTTTGGATTTATTTGTGAGCTATCACAGAAGATACTTCAGAAATGGTAAAGATTGAGAGAATTAAGTCACCAAACATTTGCTATGCACTAGCTGTGTGGTATGCGTTTTAAATTTGACATCTTCTTTAACCTTCACAGTCCTAGAAATTTGAAATTACTATAAATTTGTTTATAGAAACTTGTTATTATTATCCCACAGAAATAAAATGAATTTAATTAAATAGCTTCTTAATGTTGGCTTATGAGTAATTTGTCAAGACCTGAAATCTTATCTGTCTTGAACACCTAGCTCAGTTCCTGGCAACCACTGAATGAGAGCAGTCAACAATGTGAATGTGGTAGAGACAAACAGGAAAAGACCAAAAAAAAAAATCATTTTATTTGGCAATTCTGATAGGCCTACTAAAGCTGTGCGAAGGGCTTTGGATTTTATTCTAAGGACAATGATGGTGTTTTATTGATCAATATATAGAAGGCACCTCATAGGAGAGTAGCATGTGCCAACTACATGCCTAGCACATATTAGGAGCTTAATAAATATCTGTTGAGTGAAAGAATAAATATATGTCTGGTAAACATTATAAAGTATATAGATTTCTTCCCATCCAGAACGCTGTGCTCTTAGTGAAGACAAAGACAAACCAGGCCAGGCACGGTGGCTCATGCCTGTAATCCCAGCACTTTGGGAGGCCAAGGTGGGTGAATTACTTGAAGTTGGGAGTTCGAGACCAGCTTGGCCAACATGGTGAAACTCCATCACTACTAAAAATATAAAAACTAGCCTGGGATGGTGGCATGTGCCTGTAATCCTAGCTACTCAGGAGGCTGAGGCAGGAGAATAGCTTAAACCCCGGAGGCGACGTTTCAGTGAGCTGAGGTCACTCCATTGCACTCCAGCCTGGGCAACAGAGCCAGACTGTGTCTCCAAAAAAAAAAAAAAAAAAAAAAAGACAAACCAAAACCTCCTTCCTGTGAGGCAGCTTAAACTTGCATTGCCTTTCGGCATGCAGAGGGTGTCTTTGTTTTAACACAAGGCCACTTATACCCTGAAGAGGCTCTGTCTGATTGATGGATTAAAAAAAGCAACTTGAGATGTTTGAACTTGGTCCACAAATAGGATAGTTGTCCCATATTTTTAATCAGTTCCTGATGCACAGATTAGCAAGTCTTGGAAGAAAAGTAAGACTTTTAAATAAACAGGACAGGGTCCTCAAAACAATCCTCTTCTCTCAACCATAAGTTACTTATATTCGCTTCAAAACAGAATTAGCAATCCCAACCACAGCCTAGTAATATGTAAAATAGACTGGTAAATAAATTTCAATTCAAAACGGCAATTTAAATTCCAGGATCTTATCTCTCAATATATAATAAGCATCCATTATCAGTGTGACGTGTCACATATACCTCTCTATCAGTTGATTAAAATGTGTGCTTTTTACATCTACTCTAGGACATATTATTGTTGCTGTCTAATTTAATCTAAGACCACTCAGAATGTGATAGGATCCTACTACTAATTCCATATTTATAGTCCATTTCAAAAAGTGTTATAGTGCAATGAGGAATATGAAAGTGTTCTAAAAAATTAAGTTTAAAGTTTAAGTAAGTTTAAGTTTGGAAGTTAAAAAAACTTCCAAAACCATTCCTTTTTTTTTTTTTTTTTTTTTTTAAGATGGAGTCTCACTCTGTTGCCCAAGCTGGAGTGCAGTGGCTCAATCTCAGTGCACCACAACCTCCACCTCCCAGGTTCAGGGCATTCTCCTGCCTCAGCCTCCCAAGCAGCTGGGATTACAGGTGCCCGCCACCACTCCTGGCTAATTTTTGTATTTTTAGTAGAGACGGGGTTTCGTCATGTTGGCCGGGCTGGTCTCGAACTCTTGATCTCAAGTGATCCACCCGCCTTGGCCTCCCAAAGTGCGGGATTACAGGCATGAGCCACTACACCCAGCCCCAGAACCATTCTTCTGACAGAAATAGAAGGAAAGGTGGATTGAGGTAGGGATAAGATAAAAGCGTAAAGAATGCTTAATTGAGATGGGAGGGCTCTGCTGGAATAAACAATACTAGTGATTCCCTGGAAGAACCTTAATGTGTCTAATTCCAAAAAAAAAGATAAGATTCCTGTACTCTGAACATGAATGCGCCACAGATTCATTCATTCACCAAGGACTCAAGAATGTACTTTTGGAAATGTTAGACAGGACCCAAGAACCATGGTCGAGAGAAACTTCATGCTATTTATAACTCAAACTATGACTGAAACAGAGGAAATTTGGAAAAATACTTCCTAAATTTCACGTACACTATGAGTTGCCCATCCTATTAGCACCAGAACTTCTTTCCTACAGATTCATTAGCACTGAAACAATACACCATAAAAAAGGATTTACATAAAAGACAGCTGGAGCCGGTTGCCAGGGGAACTGACGATGTTCCAGACACATTCCACATTAGGGGGATAAATGTCTGGGTAGCCAGGGCTGTTGAAGATGCCTTCAGCCATGTAGAACGTTCCACCACAAGCTGGAAGAAAATAGAAATAAAGTGAGTATCAGAGCAAAGACTGCATCAGACACTATAAAATAAAGGAGAAAGAACGCTAGAGCCATTATCAATGTAAAAGAATAGATAGTATTTCCATCTCACATTTTAAAACATTCATGTCATATAAAATAAGGGAACAATTCTGCAAACTGAAGACCAAGGGCCATGCAGTGTGGTGGATTAGAAGGAATTTCTGCAATGTCTTTTCTCAAAGCCGTTTCTTCCTGTGAACGGTAACTTTGAAGAATAAAAGACTTGTTTACCATCCTACAGCCACTTGGCTTTTGTGACCAGGATTCTATTCAACCCTGGCCTAGAACCCAACGCAGCATGCTTGCTTTCCCTCTCAGTAGAGCACCGAAATGCACACACCAATCTTCTAGGTGTTCTGTAGCTTTTAACCACTAAAAACAAGGAAGATGGCAGTGACCAACAGCACTCTCTGGGCTAAGAGGCTAAGAAACCCAGTCCTGGGTAGCTCCTCGTTCCTCTCCTCCCCAGGTTAGGGCTGCCTTAACAAACAAGCCAAAAAGAACACCAGGGTGAGCGAGGTGGCTCACACCTGTAATCCCACCACTTTGGGAGGCCGAGGCTGGTGGATCACGAGGTCAGGAGTTTGAGACCAGTCTGGCCAACATAGTGAAACCTCGTCTCTACTAAAAATACAAAAATTAGCCAGGTGTGGTGGCAAGTGCCTGTAATCCCAGCTACTCAGGAGGCTGAGGCAGGAGAATCGCTTGAATTGGGGAGGCAGAGGTTGCAGTGAGCCAAGACCGTGCCATTGCACTCCAACCTGGGCGACCAAGTGAGACTCCATCTCAAAAACAACAAAAGAACACCAAGTCATCTGATAGCATGGCATGTAGCTGAAAAGACAGCTACATTTCCAACCAATCCTCCACACTTCCAGAGTTCATTATTGCTAGAATTGACAACACGATCACTTAATTGGGAAGAAGGTAAGATTTGGCCCAGAGGTGATCTCAGGAAACTGGCTCCCAACTACGAAGGTCAGAGTCCCCAATAACAAACCAAGAATTTCTACCACATCCCTTTTAACCGCTAGAGTCAGGTGCTAGGGTTTCTTACCCGACACTGATGCGGTGACCGTGGTGTGGAAACCCCCAGCACTGATGCTAGAATCAGAGACGAATCTCAGCGTCAGGGCGCTGCTGAAGGATGTGATAGGATGGGGCATGTCGGTGCCACAGTAACGGCCTAAATAATGAAGATAATGACAAGGAGAATGAATGACAACATGGCAGAGACCGCTGTTTCTAGGAAACACATCTTTACTCGAATTACAAGAGACCAAAACAAAGTGAAGAAATTGCCACTAGGAGAACCACTTCATTCAGGGTCAATGTTTGAGACAATACCTGATGATTTAAAATAAACTATATATAGGAGCTATATATAGGAGAGGTGATTTATAAACATGATCAAGAACAATAGGACCAGAGGAAAAACTTAGATGACCAAGGGACACATGTACCTAAAGCAAAAATCTCCAGCCCAGTCGGACCCATACAAATAAATGCACTAATATCCACTATTTTGTAGCACAGAAAAGTGTGGATGCTGGAGCCAGGCTACCTGGATTCAGCCCCTGGCTCAGCCATTTGCTAGTTGTGTGATCCTAGGCAAGTGACTTACGTGCTTGGTGCCTCAGTTTCCTCACTTGGAAAAAGGGGCATATTGAAAATAATGAAACCTATCTCATAAGATTACAAGGATTGACCTACTATTTATAACATACTGAGAACAGTACTCAGCGCAAGGTATTGCTATGTAACAGCTTGTTAAATAATATACCCTTATCCTTGGTCAAATGCTTACTAACAAATGCTGTGAGAGGTGTGCATAGGGTGTGGAGAGTTCATTGATTGTTCACTATTGTCTCAGACACTGTCCTGGGCACTGGGAATTAGGCAACAGGCCAAACAGTCTCCTCTCTGACAGACCTTGTCTTCTAGTGCAGGATGAGAAGTTTTTACAACAAAATTCAAAAGTTAGGAAATTTACGGAGAAAGCTTAAATGGCCTGGTGTGTGTGTGTGTGTGTGTGTGTGTGTGTAGTGTGTGTGTGTTTGTTTGTTTTGCCTGAGAGCATTTCAGAAACTAGATAGCGGCACTCTTTAATTTTATTGGGATGTCTAACAAACAAAAAGACAGATTTTTAATGGAATTAATTAATTAATTATCTAATTAAGTGCTTTTTTTTTCGCTTCCACTAAGGACAAGGCTGAAAGAAACATACTCCATGTGAATGTAAGAACTTGGTCAAATATTAACAAGAAATTTCTGATAGAATGCTACCTAATGCTGGGATGGGTTGCATTCCACTATTCTTTAAAGCAGCTGCAATTTTTAAATGTTTTAAAACATATACACAAACTATTCACACGTTTGAATATATTAATAAACAGGCTGAGTTCCCTGAACCCCACATTCAAGCCTGCTTTCTTACCCTCTAATCATCTTTATTTGGCTTAGGCTGCTCTTTCTATTTATTGGAAACATTGCAACCTAGAATGGCAGCCTATAAATATGCGGATCTATAAATAAAGCACAGCCAAGACCACAGATGTAGATGAGTGAACGCTGAGGTACCTCGGAGGGGCGCGTCTTCGTGGCCGCCATCCAAAATTTCTACAAAGTCACGTGCACACGTTGTGCTTCTTTCAAGTTCAAAGTGGGTAAAAGAGAGGGTGATATGATTTACTGGAAGAAAAAAGAGAAGACTCTCTCGTAAAGTACTGGCAAATAAAACATACAGGGAGATGGGGCAAGACGGGGAGGTGGGGATGGTTAATGACTATAAAAAATAGAAGGAATGAGTAAGACCTGTTTGATAGCACAACAGGGTAATTGTAGTCGATAATAACTTATTGTACATTTAAAAATAATTAAAAGAGTAGAATTGGATTATTTGTAACACAAAGGATAAATGCTTGAAGGGATGGATACCCCATTTCCATGATGGGATTATTTCACATTGCATGCCTGTATCAAAACATCTCATGTACCCCATACATATATACATCTACTATGTACCCACAAAAATTAACAATAAAATTTTTTTACAAAATAAAATTAAAATTAAAAAACATACAGGGAGATAAATTTTACTTCTGGTAATTTCATGTAAGGGTTCTCCAGCAGAGAAGTAATGAATGAGGCGGATTTGCACATGGTTGAAGGGATAAAGCAAGGGAAGGGGACAACTTCTATCCTAGATGGTTTCCTTTGAAGAGTAATAGAATAGATGGTTTCCTTTGAAGAGTAACGGAATAGATGCTTTTGAAACTGCCTGTGGCATCTGAAACACTGGCAGTGGTAAATAAGAGGACTCCTGGGTAGGTTCATTCCAGGCACTATAAGGGAATATCTTGTTGGAAAATGCCGTCTTTCCAGTTTTTATATCACCATTGCTGTGTTCCTCGCAGAAGCATTTTTCTCAATAGACTCATTTCCTTAAATTCGGATTCTTTGCATGTGCTTGTAAATAAGGCATTCTTTTCTCCCTGGAGCCCACATTTTAGCTCACTCAGTTTTATTTTCAGGCTAGAGCTAGTGCCCTAAGGTTCAGAGACATTTATCAAGAAAGTTTTGAATTACTTGCAGAACAGCAAGCACCTGGATACATTTTCTTTTTGTTGTTCTTTAAGCTCCCTAATCTTCAGAATAGGATCTTTTCCTATTGCTGTTCTTGAACCAGTGAGATCTTTCATCTAAATGCTTTACAACTCATTAGAAAATAATCCTCAGGCACAAACTTCTCAGTTCAAGGGAGGGGGCTTCTTTATCTACAGCTCAGTTTCTGGCTGGCTGGCAACTTTCTTTGGGGCTCCACCTCCCCGTTTGAATTGGCTAAGGATGACATCATCGGCTGCCACATCTTATGCATGTCAATGAAGATACTAGCAATTTGTTAACTCCTGACATCCCAGGGGAAAGTGCTAGAGAATATTTAAGCCAAACTCTTCATTTTGCAGATTACTTTTTCATGGCCTGATTAGCTTAAGTGACTTCCCTATTTTCACACAGGCGATTAATTACTGTGCAGAGTGAAGAACTTAAAGACTTTCCTACATTATGCCTGAAACTGTATTTTCCTGCAAACCTCAAAGGAGGGCAGGGCTCCTCTGAAACAGGATTCAGAAGGGCCCCAGCATCACCCGCTTTGCAGCCATTCTGTCATGTCCTTGAGGGGCATTTCCTGATGTTCTCTGTCTGTAAAATGAGGACAGAAGTCCTTACCATCGGACTGTTACCAGGTCAGAAAATAAGATTCTAGGGTTCCAAAAAAGAAAAGAAAGTAAGCGTTTATTCAATGTTTCTTCTAGGCCTGTGCTGGAATAGTACCTTGCAGGAGAGCCCAGGTTTTATGAATGTTTGCTTTGATGGATAGGTGCGCGCATTGCATTCTGGCCCGTGAGTCACTGATTCTCCAGTCTGTGACTCTTCTTCATTTGTTCACTCAGCAACTGTCTTGAACATCAGCTATACTCAAGGCACACATGTCAAAAACTATTTATCGATTATTTTGGTTTACCCCCAATCTCATACGCCTGCATACGCCTGTTAATACAGCAAGGTTGTAGGTGTGTTGTGTTGTTGTGCGTGTGTGTGTTTTTTAACCTTTGCTAGGCCTTGACATGAAAAAAAAGAAATTGTTTTTAAATTTAGAAGCAACTGTAGAAATGACTTCCCTATCAGATTAGGAAATGCTTGTTCTTAAGCACATCAGGAATTGGGACTTGCAAAAGATGAAGAGGAAGGCCATCGATTGTTAGCACTGAGATAAGAAGGTTACTCATAGACTGACCTTCCCACAGACACCTTCTCTCCTGTGTGCCTTTTCTTTTTCATTTTTGTTACTTACATGGAGGTTGCGCTTGAATGATCCAGCTGCAGTTCTGATTGTTTGGATAATTGGCAGGGAACCGTGGAGAGGAAACAGTATCAAATGAGCTGGTGAGGATGTGGCCTCCGCAGGCTGGGGAACACACAAACACACATACATGTCATATGCTTTTCATTTCTACTGACCGTACAAAACAATTATTTGATGAATAAAACCATCAATGATTTTTCTTCTTATTTCTAAAATGCACGCCAAGAAAGTTCTCCATAAGGAGAGCTGTACATAAACCATGAGAAAACAGGAGCACAGTTTATATTTTTAACAATTATTCTTCAACTACAGGAAGTAGGAAGTGGCAAAAAGCAACAGATTAAATGTCTATGAATTGCCTAAGTCATTCAAACAAAATTCTTGCATGGATTCACTTACACTGCCCACTCATAAATCATAGGCATAGGGATAATCTGCTTATAAATGACCTCTTTTTTTCAGGAAAATAAATACTCAATTGAATAAGGCTTCATAAGGATGACTGTAGATTACTAGAGAAGAGCAAAATTCGATGTGAGTCTTGAAGAGGGAGAGGCGGTCACCGCTGGAGGGCGTAAGAGGAGTCTTGCTGAGGAGGAGGCCGAGGCTAAACTAGGACTTGGAGGGTGAGAAAAGGGAGGCCAGGGAGGGGACTGCCTGAGCAGACACAGAGGAGCATCTATAGAGGCTCAGCTGGAGCATGGGGTGCCCCAGGGATGTGGGTGACTGACGCTGGAGAGAGGTCAGGGTGGGTTCTGGGGCTCTTGGTTAACATCTGCAGGAGCTTGAGCTTTATTCTCCAGGCCAGGTGGAGACGGGACAGACATTGAGCATTCCAATGGCATGATCAGAGCAGGGCTTTTACAGGCGACTTTGGAGAGAGATGGGGTAAGGGTAGGTGACTTTCAGGAGGTTGTTACAGTCCGGATGAAAGCTAGCAGGGACTTTTTACTATGAAGCAACAAACAAGTGAATAATAACATGCAAAAGAACTATTAGGAAACTAGTTTTTCTTTAAAATCAACAAGAATATAGTCTGTCTTGCTCCAAAGTCTAAAGGTCTATGGTGCGTATTTGGGAGACCTCGATCCAGGCACTGTCCCCATCCAGAGCTCTTTACTACAGAATATAAGCGAGTTGACTAAGATAGACATAATGACTACACAGACTAAATGTATTTGTAGTGAATGTTCTGAGTCATCTGAATACAAGTCATCTCTGACTATGGGATAAGGGGTTCATCTCTTAGAACGAGCAGATGAAAGGCAATGGGTAAAAAGGTCTTGGAGAAGTGGTGATTTAAGAACAAAAATGGCCAGGTATGGTGGGAGGCTAAGACAGGAGAATCACTTGAGGCCAGGAGTTTGAGACCAGCCCGGGCAACAGAGCAGATCCCATCTCTAAAAAAGAAAAAAAATAGCCAGGCGTGGGGGTGCACCTATAGTCCCAGCTACTCAGGAGGCTGAGGTGGGAGGATTGCCTGAGCCTGGGAGGTCGAGGCTTCAGTGAGCCGTGATTGCACCACTGCACTCCAGCCTGGGTGACAGAGAGAGACCCTGTGGAAAGAAAGGGAAGGGGAGGGAAAGAGAGATGAGGAAAAGGAAGGGGAGGAGAGGAAGGGGAAGAAGAGGGGAGGAAGGGAGGGAACAAAGAAAGAAAAATAAATGGAAAACAACAGTGACTCCTCAGTTGGACAATGGCAGGATTCAGAAATGAGGGAAACCACTGCTTCCAGGGGCTGGCATCTGAATACATTACAAGCAAGTCTTGTAATTGATAGCAGTGTATCCCATTCTAGTGTAAAGCCTTGGGTAGTGCTAGATCAGTGAATTTGGATAAAACTTTTTTATACTGTTTCTAGTCTTAAAAGCACTTTTAAACTTGTTAGAGATGCGGGTCCAAAGGAAGTCAGAGAAGGAGAAGGTTACAAGCATCAGGAGTTGGGATAATTGTAAGTCACAGTTCTTTTGTTCTATTTAATTTTTTACATGTTAAGTAGAAGGCTGTGATCAATTTCTGAGCACAGGTCTCATTTCACTGTTGCACCAAACAGAGCACTGAAGATTTCTCTTGTGCCTGGGAAGATCCACAGGGTACTTGCCTTGCCTGAATTGAGCTCGGAAGCCTCTGTTCTGTCTGGAAGGGCCAGACTGAAATCTCAAGAAGAGGCTGTTTCCTGAGGAGACGATGGGGTTAGCCAGCTGCTCCCTTCCACACGTCCTGGCAAGGCGGGACATTGTGGAGCTTAAGCCATCGTATGCCTACAAGAAAGGAGACAGGGCAAACAGTGGTTCAGATTCACATCTAGAAGGCCTGTATTCCACGAACTGTCTGCACGCCGATATACTAGTGGATAATCACACGTTTGCTGGATCTAGGGAAACTGGCTTTATTGTCCTTTCTCACAGCTGTAACAAGTCTTTGGTCATTTCTAGGGATGCTGACGTGAATTTCAGCAGGACTTCCTCTGTCAGAGCCACTATTAGATTTCTTGATATCTTCATAAATGCCGTCCCTTCCACACTCCCCTTCCTTCCCAACCCCAGTGTAGTCACCTCACAGGCCATGCCCACAACATGTGCTGGAAATGTGTAATGCAAGAATAGACACATGAGAAAACAGACGAGAAATAATGATGAGTGATGAGCATTTGTTGTCAGAATCCCAACATTTGTTGGACCTGTTTGTTCTTCATAAGTTTCGTGATAGGGTAATGCTCAAGAGAAGAGAAATGGCAGAATTCTTTTCAAACGATAGGGGTGATATAAGGCTGATTTAGAAAACTACCTCTCTCTCTTTTTGCCCGTGCATGGTGGCTCACATCTACAATCCCAGCACTTTGGGAGGCTGAGGCGGGTGGATCACCTGAGGTCAGGAGTTCAAGACCAGCCTGGCCAACATGGCGAGACCCCCGTCTCTAATAAAAAATACACAAATTAGCCAGGTGTGGTGGTGTGCACCTGTAGTCAAAGCTACTCAGGAGGCTGAGGCAGGAGAATTGCTTGAACCTGGGAGGCGGAGGTTGCAGTGAGCTGAGATCCCACCACTGCACTCCAGCCTGGGCAACAGAGAGCGAGATTCTGTCTCAAAAAAAAAAAAAAAAAAAAAAAAAAAAGGAAAAGAAAATTACCTCTCTCTTTTTAACTGTTGGTCTCTGTCTTGCCTAGTGCCATGCTGGGACCTAGCTGACCCTCCAGGCATGTAATGAAATGGAATCTATGTCACATATACCTGAAATCTCTGTATTGATTTGTAAAATTTGAAGCTTACTAATTTGCTTGGAACTCAGTGTCTGGATGAATTTTTGAATACTCTTATGTGTAAATCAGGGGGGAAATGAGTTCCTTTGCTTGGATGATTAATAATAACTCCCATTCATTAGTGCTTACTATGTGCCAGGAACTGGATTCAGCCCTTCACGTACACTGTCCCATTTTATCCTCCCAAATTTCTTTCTGTTTTTAAGAACAGGACAACAGAGGCACAGAGAGCCTAAGTAATGGGCCCAAGTCACACAATTCCTAAGAGGGAGCAGGTCACGTTGAATCAGACCACTAGATTCCAGAGTCCAGAATTGAAACCCTTTCCTCTTGTTCACTGCAAGGTATCAACTGAGCAGGACGCATGCATCAACCTGCCAACCATTAGAATGTGACTGAAAGTATGAAGGTAAAATATGGCCATTTCATTAAAAACAAATTGCCATTTATATTTCATAAGAAAATCTTGGGGAAAAAAATAGAAAGTTCGGAGATTCAATGTAAGGAAGTTACTCGCAAGTGACTTTAAAAATCTGGTGATGATTATAATCAGTGTTCTGTTTAGCACACAGGTATGATTCTGCATGTTCTCTTTAGCCACAGGTATGATTGGCAGGATATTCTCAGTTTGGCTTATACAAGCCCATGAATCAAATATCAATAGGATTTTTAACTTTCTGAGGAGCTAAAGCTCTTACAATAATAAGTTTAAAACAAATGTGGGTCTGTTCTGGAGCAGCAAATCTTTTCTTTTTTATTATTTAATGTTCAAAATTTAAATATATATATATATATCTCCAATAAATGAAACCTGATGACTGATTTTCATTCAACAAAGATTGATTAAAAACTAAATTCCATTTTTCTAACCAATTCAAATTATAATTTCCAATCTAGTATGAATCCTTCCTTTGAACACGTTGAACACTGTAAACAGTAGACAAAATGACATTTAAACCATCACTACAAAACCTCTTACTACATTCATACTTGAGTCTACTCTCAAATATCACCACCATTGGTTTAATTCAAGTCTTTATTATCTCTATACTTGGTTTTATGCTGTCCTAAGGTTATAGATACAGTGTCCTAAGCTTGTAGTAATATTCTATTAATACTGTCTTAGTTTTAATATCAAAGGATAATGAATACCTTCTTAGAACATCTGTGGTTACAGAGTATGGAGAATACACCAATTGAATCTTAAGGCACAGACTATTTACTTCTCTCAAGATAATTTATTCATTTATTTGTTTAGAATAGCATTTTTTCATTTTTATAAAAGTTTAAGATTCAATTTTATGAATATATACAGTTTATATTTATTTTTTATTTTGGTTTTAAGTGATGCATAATAATTGAACACATGTATGAGGGATAGTGTGATGTTTCAATACACATATACATTGTGTAATTATCAAATCATGGTATTCAGCATGTCCATCAATTCAAACATTTATCATTTATTTGTGGTGAGACCATTAAGAATCCTCTCTTCTAGTTACTTTTAACACACTATAATATTTATAAACCAGAATATTGTTTACTGTGGGTGCCCTACTGTGTTATAGAACATCAGAACTTATTCCTCTTACCTAACTGTAATTGTATACCCTTTGACAAATATCTCCCCATAATTTCCTCCCTGCTACCGTCCCCAGCCTCTGGTAACCACTATTCTACCCTGTACTTGTGCGAGATCAGCATTTTTACACTCCACAAATGAGTGACATCATGCAATATTTATCTTTCTGTGCCTGGCTTATTTCCATGAACATAAAGTCCTTCAGGCTCATCCATGATGCCACAAATGACAGGATTGTGTTCATTTCTATTGCTAAGTACCATCCCATTGTTTATATATATCACATTTTAAAAATCCATTCATCCATTGATAAGTCTTTTTGTCTTCAAGAGAAGACATACAAATGACCAACAGGTAAATGAAAAAATGCTCAACATCACTAATCACCAGTGAAATCCAAATCAAAGCCACAGTGAAATACCACTTAATCCCAATTAGAAAATAATAAGGGCTGGTGTGGATGTGGGGAAAAGGGAACCTTTACACACTATTGATGGGAATGTAAATTGATACAGCCATTATGAAAAACAGTATGGACATTTCTCAAAAAATCAAAAATAGAGCTACCATATGATCCAACAGTCTCACTCCTGGGATAAGCAGACAAAGGAAATTAAATAAGTATGTTGAATATATCTGCATTTCCTTGTTAACTGAAGCACTAGTCACAATAGCCAAAATATGGAATCAACCTAAGTGTCTAGCATTTCTTAATTTTTTAAACTAGTGGAACAATGGGTTCTATGGTGTTTATAGACTTCTCAAAAAAAAAAAAAAGAAAAAACTCTAAGATTTTGCAAGTCCATGGACTCACAAAATAAGACTCTTCTGGTTTTAAAAAAATTTTCTCCGAAATTCAAAGGTCCAAGGAATAAGTACATATTGTTTCTTCCCTCTCACAGTCCTTGTTTTCAGTCTGAGTGGTTGGAATCCTCTCAAGGGACAAGAGGAAATAAGGGGAACAAAAGTAAACTAAAATATTAAGGCTGAAATCTTCAGAAAATCACCCGAATCACCCATTTCCTTGGGGGTCCTTTGAAAGGGGCACACCTAGAAGCTTTACAGACTTCCCAGCTATTTCCCCTACCCCCAGCCCCTGAGGTCCTGGAATTACAAGACCTCTGCTAAAATTCATCTGGCTGAAGTAATACTTCACAAGGAATGGATCAAAAATAGAAGGTTTTCTCAAGACCAGCCTGGCCAACATGACAAAACCATGTCTCTACTAAAAATACAAAAAACAATTAGCCAGGCATGGTGGTGGGCACCTGTAATCCCAGCTACTCAGGAGGCTGAGGCATGAGATTTGCTTCAACCCAGGAGGCAGAGGTTGCAGTGAGCTGCGATTGCACCACTGCACTCCATCATGGGTGACAGAGTGAGACTCCATCTCAATAAAAAGAAGGTTTTCATGTGTCCCGGAATTCAAATTATATACCAATGACACCCCAAATGTGATGAGCATGTTATAATTTTACAAGCTCCATCACAAACATCCTAACCTGTGTGATTTTCTATAAAAATAAAGACAGGGAGGCAAGTGCTAAGCTATTAAACTACTGTCTCATTCAATGTAGGCTAGTAAGTCATCCAAGTTCACATCACTAGTGAGTAGCAGCGTCTTCTCTCTCCAAATTCTAGATTTACCATGTTACTTCTCTTTAAAATGCTCATGACACACCTCAGTCTGCTTCTTTGTGATACCATAGAATACCTGAGGCCAGGTGATTTATAAAGAGCAGAAATTTATTTCTAACAGTTCAGAAGGCTGGGAAGTCCAAGAACAAGCTGCCAGCAAGTTACAGCCGGGTCTCTCTGCTTCAAGGTGGTACCTTGAATGGTGCATCCTCTTGTGGGGAGGAACATCATGTCACCAAGTGGCAGAAGTGCAGAAGAGAGAGAACCTGTTGTTGCAAGCCCTTTTTATAGCAACATTAATCCATTCATGATGGCAAGGCTTTCAGTACCTGAACACCACCCAAAGGCCATACCTCCTGACACTAGAGGAGGTATTAAGCTTCCAGCACATGAACTTGGAGGGGACACATTCAAACCGTAGCATTATAGTTATTAAGTTTTATGTACCTAATTGTCATTTTATGAAATTTTGAAACCTCAGGCTATCAAGGAGGGAGAATATTTTTAACAGATTTTGAAATATAAATTCTTTCATTTGAGTGTTTTTAACACTTATAATATCAAATCATTATTCTCAGGCTTCGTGTGGTGGTTCACGCCTGTAATCCCAGACTTTGGGAAGCTGAGGTGGGCAGATCACCTGAAGTCGGGAGTTCAAGACCAGCCTGACCAGCATGGAGAAGCTCCATCTCTACTAAAAATACAAAATTAGCCAGATGTAGTGGCACATGCCTGTAATCCCAGCTACTCAGGAGGCTGAGGCAGGAGAATCACTTGAACCCAGGAGGCAGAGGTTGTGGTGAGCTGAGATAGTGCCACTGCACTCCAGCCTGGGCAACAAGAGCAAAACTCCGTCTCAAAAAAAAAAAAAGACAAAAAACAACTCACATTTAAAGTTTCAATTTATAAAATTCCACAAGAAAAGCACTTCAAGGAAGAAAATATGAGAAACCTTGCTCCCATTCATTTACAATTCTAAAGTCATAAAAATTATCGATATGAATTTCACCTTAACTTCCATTTAGTTCCCAAGGCAAAGCTAGCAAATGATATTACTATTGGATACACATATATTAATATAACATATAATTCTTACTTAAGTCTACTGCCAAGAGTTTGCTAGGCCTCAGCATTGATTTTCTGATCGTTACTTAAGTGGTAAAAGTCAGGGCAATATACAAACAAAATAAAACTTTGTACATGTCAACTAATTCATTTCTAGATGATAGTAATAAAATAAAAATTTGAAGTTGAAGCCACAAAATAAAAAGTGGCCACTGTCCCCCAGAGAATTCTAACTGCCGAAGCTCTTAAAACAGAGGCAGATCTAATGGAGTGGTCATTTAATTTCTACAGAAAAGTTGACCAGTCTTTTTGTAAAATATCCAGAATTTTATAAAATGCCAAGATACTAACACACATATTCAAAATACATATGAGGCCGGGTGCAGTGGCTCACGCCTGTAATCCCAGCACTTTGGGAGACCGAGGCAGGTGGATCACCTGAGGTCAGGAGTTTGAGACCAGTCTGGCCAACATGGTGAAACCCCATCTCTATTAAAAATACAAAAATTAGCCAGGCGTAGTGACGTGTGCCTGTAATCCCAGCTACCTGGGAGGCTGAGGCACGAGAATTGCTTGAACCCAGGAGGCAGAGGCTACAATGAGTGGAGATGGTGCCACTGTACTCCAGCCTGGGTGACAGAATAAGACTCCATCTCAAAACAAAACAAACAAAAAACCCCCACAAAAACAAAAAGCTTAACTTTATTATATAAAAATAGGAGACTTTTTAAAAAGTACAGAACCTGGCACATACAGGCAATAAATGTTTGATGAACAAATGAATAAATGAATATGTATGACAGTTGCTGGTCTCTAAAAATTGAGAACTAGGGTTGAGGAAAACCCTGAGTTAAGAAACAGCTGTCCTTGCCCTCATAGATTCAATGCTGTAAACACATAGTAGACACAATTGTGGGTAAGAGGTTAGTCACAGGGGGACGGAGGTCAGCTCGGCTGCTTTCTGGGCAGGCTTCCTATATGCCAGGTCTGAAGGAGAATGAAGGGGCCCAACCACAGGGCACAGCCAATGTCATGCACTCCGCTCCCAGGGGCCCTTCACCAACAGGGTGAGAGAAGGCAGAGGCAGAATGTGGGCAGAGGACATTGGACCCGTCCCCAAGGCCCAGAGTATTCTGAACACATGATATATTATGGTGCTATCAAGTCCCCTCCACATCCTCAGCTCTAGCCAGAAGTGAGAACTAAGCCAAACATTTATGAAATTTCTTTTAATTAGTATTATAATTGTTATTTTTGTAGTCAGGGTCTTACCCTGTCACCCAGGCTGGCATACAGTGGTGTGACAGCTCACTGCAGCCTTGACCTCCTGGGCTCAAGGGATCCTCCCACCTCAGCCTCCCAAATAGCTGGGACTACAGGTGTGCACCACCACACTTGGCTAATTTTTAAATGTTTTGTAGAGAGGGGATTTTGCTGTATTGCCTAGTGTGGAACTCCTGGCTCAAGCGATCCTGCCACCTCAGCCTCCCAAAGTGCTGGGATTATAGGCATGAGCCACAGTGCCCGGCCTTAATTTTCATACCTGATGCTTCGATACCTTGAGGAGATTTGCATAAATGTCCATCATTTCTAAAGTTAACATGTGTTCAACTTTGTCACATGTCAAGTGACACAGGAGGAAAACCATTCAAGTGTGAGACCAACATCCCTTCCTGGTGGCATTTCTAGTTCTGGAGGCCTGTGATCATAGTTCTAAAGAACGGTAATGTGGGAAAATAAAGAAGCCAAGCAAAGGGAACTTTTTAATTCTCATACACACCTTTGTCTTATAAATAAGCATTATTTAAAAGCATGTTGCATTATTTAAAAGTTGGTGGCAGGATTCCTTTTAGAGGGAAAAGCAATCCCTTTTTTTTTTTTTTTTTTTTTTTTTGAGACGGAGTCTCGCTCTGTGGCCCAGGCTGGAGTGCAGTGGCGGGATCTCGACTCACTGCAACCTCCGCCTCCCGGGTTCACGCCATTCTCCTGCCTCAGCCTCCTGAGTAGCTGGGACTACAGGCGCCCGCCACTACGCCTGGCTAATTTTTTTGTATTTTCAGTAGAGACAAGGTTTCACCGTGTTAGCCAGGATGGTCTCCATCTCCTGACCTCGTGATCCGCCCGCCTCAGCCTCCCAAAGTGCTGGGATTACAGGCGTGAGCCATGGCGCCCGGCCGGAAAAGCAATCTTTATTGACGAAAATATCTTCATAGGCTCTCAGAACATGAGTATAGTAGGGGAGGTGTTATTTTATGTTGTTGGGGACAAGTTGCCCCCTTCTCTTTGCTTTCTCATCTGTTGCTAAATTTCTTAATCTGCAAAATTGGATTAATATGAATATATAGCTCATACTGTTCACAAGAATAAGTTAAAAGATACAATACTTAGGAGAGTGGCTGGCATGTAGTAAGCATGTGATAGATGTTAGCCTCTAGTATCAAAGTGAGACAAAGTGGGAGCTAAATTGCTGTGTAAGAAATGAAGTAGGGAATTAGAAAGCTATGGAGGCAAAAAAGAAAAGAGAACCAAGGGGTGGGGTGGGGGTTGTCCAGAAATATGGGTAGGTAGGAGTGGGAGAGATAAGAAGTGAAAATTTTCCAACTGGAGATTGTAGGGGTGGGGGGTGGTAGGCAACTTCTGACCCAGCTCTCAGTGAGCCCCACGTCCTGGTATTCATGCCTCTGTGTAATCTCCTCCCTGGCGTATGGGATAGACCTCGTGATTGGTTCTAATTAACAGAATACAATGGAAGTGATAGTCTGTCACCTCCATAATGAGGTGAGAAAAGATGGTTCCTGCCCTCTTGCTAGCACTTTCTGTCTTGTTGGACTCTCTCTTGTCCTCTCTATTGCTTGCCCTGGTGAGCAAGGTGCCGTGTTCTGAGATACTCCGTGGAGAGGCCTGTGTGGCAGGGAGTCAAGGGAGGCCTCAGCCAACAGCCTGCAAGGAACTGAACCCTGTGTACATTCACATGAGTGAGCCAGGAAGCATGCAGGTGAGTGGCACCTGGCTTCCTGACCCACGGAAACTGTAAATGTTGTTGTCTTAAGCTGGTAAGTTCTGGGGTAAGTCTGCGGGTGTGGAATGAAGAACAAAGGCTTCCGAAGAATGAGGCTGTCCAGTGCTGTATTCAAGTCACATGCTGTACTGCTCTTTGCAGTAACCACCTCAGAGACCTCATCTAAAAATGAGGGTAGGTAAACTCCCCTTGCAGCCTCATAAGGTTATTGTAAAGATCAAATAAGACAATGTATTGAAAGTTTTGTGGAAACTGATTACAAGTATGAAGGTAAGTTTTTCTCATTTCGTTCCAGAAATTCTCATATATACATTTCTTTTTTCTTTTCTTTTCTTTTTTTTCTTTTTTTTTTTTTTTTGAGACAGAGTCTCACTCTGTCACCCAGGTTGGAGTGCAGTGGTGCTCACTGCAACCTCTGCCTTCCAGGTTCAAGTGATTCTCCTGCCTCAGCCTCCCAAGCAGCTGGGATTACAGGTACACACCACCACGCCCAGCTAATTTTTTGTATTTGTAGTAGGGACAGGTTTTCTCCATGTTGGCCAGGCTATTTTCGAACTCCTGACCTCAAGCAATCCATCCACCTCAGCCTCCCAAAGTGCTGGGATTACAGGCATGAGCCACTGTGCCCGGCCTCATATATAAATTTCTAACGAAATTTAACATACAGAAAAGTTAAAAGCTAGCAATTCCACTTCTGCAGGTTTACACTAGAGAAAGTCTTAGGTGGTTACATACAGATATTGCTTCAAGAATATTCGGTACAAAAAGTTGCTAAGGAAAAATATTGCAAGCAACTTAAATGTTCATTAACAGGAGAATGGGCAAATGACTTGTGGTGCATATATAAAATAGAATGTGTAGTGACTAAAAGAATGCATTAGATCTGTATGCATTACAATGCAGAAAATGTGAAAAACAGAATAATGAGTGAATAGAGCAAGTTGAAGAAGGATATGTAGCGTGTGACATGATGTACATAAAGTCTTAAAATATGCAAAATAATATTTCATAGTGTGTATGGATATATGCATATAATGAAAAAACTATAAAAACCTTCATGGGAATCACAAACCAGAAATCTCATTAGCAGTTTCCTCTGGGACGGGGAACAGGGCATGGGATCAATGATAGGAGCATGTGGGACTTCACCTGTGTCTTGAACAGTTCATTTCTGTTTGGGAGAAAACAAAAGAACTTGAAGCAAATGTGGCAAAATATGAAGATTTGGCCAGTCTGGACAGGGAGAAGTTTTTGTATGTTATATACTTTGTATGCATTATATAGTCGGTATTTCTCTACATACTTAAAATATTTCATAGTAGAGTGTTCAATAAAGAAAAGAAAAGCTATATAAAGGAAATAATAGGAAATGTACTAAGATTCACATATAAAGATACTCCTCATAGCATTGTTATAACAAGAAAAGAAAAAACCCATTAATAATCCAAATGGTTAATAATAAAGCGTGGCTAACTGAATTACAGCACGTCCATTTCATTGACTAGCCAAAGAAACTATTTAAGAAAATTTCAAATAATATGAAGTGAAAAAGGCAAGATACAAAATTATATATAATATTATCTTAACTATGCATGTTTGTGTGTACATGAGTGCGTGTATATATTTGTATGTGTGTGTTTGTGAGGGAAATAAACCAAAATTTCAATAGCTTGTATCTATATTGTAATACTAAGGATGGCAATAATTTCTTATTTCTTCTTTTCTGTATTCTACAAATTTAATATGAGGAGCATGTAAGGTTTAAAAATAAAATCTATATTAAAAGTTCTTTAGTGTTTCATCACTCGGACGCATAAGTGATTACATACAGACATGAAAGGGCACTATTCATATAACAGCACTGCAGCACCCAAGCCAGATGGCTACTAACGCCAGTTAATCTAGCCTCTTGCTGCCGCCAGGAATGTATCAAGTTTAATGGACGTGGCTTCTGTTTTAAGATCTCCAAAGCATCTGTTCATTGCCTAATATCTACAACTGTGCCCCAGTCCTCTCCCCTAAGCCCTAGGCTTGTATAGACAACTGTATCGTAGACATCATCTCTTCCATGTTCCACAAACCCCGAAAATCAGTGTCTCAAACTGAAGCCCTCTTCCTGTCCCTCTCATTTCTCCCTTACCTACATTTCTTGCCACAGTAAATGCCGGAAGCATGTACCCAACGGCCAGACCGTTTGGGGAACCGCCCCCATCCCTGCTACATGTAGTGGATCAGCATGTTCTAACATCTGTTTGTCCGATGTATCGCTTGGCTCCTTCCCTCTACTTCATCCATGTCCCTCTCTGGTGTCTTGGTGTGGGGCCTCATTACATCTTGCCTAGGCCACTACAACACCCTGAAATTTCCCCTGCCTTCCATTTGTGTCTTCCTTCCATTCAGTCTCAAAACAACTCAGTGCACAGCGTGCGCTTTCTAAAATGTAACATCACATACTAAAGTAAAGCTGAGCATACATTTTTAAATTGCACGAAATAAAGACCAGTAATCACGCATGCTTTGCCTAAGCACTAAAGACCACGTGATTGACGTGGACGTGATGCAGAGCACTTCAGCGGCTGCCCCTCTCTGCTGTAATCAAAACCCTGGGGTGATTAAATGGCTCGTGACCACCTGACTGAAATGTCAGTCATCGTTTGCACCCCTCATGACTGAGGGGGAAATGAATTGTAGCTTCCTCAGTAATATCTGTATTTTTATTTCTAAAAAAAAAAAAAAAACAGGAATATATTCCCTGAGATTGTTGGAAAGTAGGAAGTGAGGAATTTTTTTCTACTGGATTTTTTATCTTGTTTACTAAGTTTCATCTTGCTCAGGGAGAAAATTTTTTTAAAAGATTCCTTAAGATCTTTAACATAGCGTTAATAGTAATAGAAGCAGGAGTCATTGTAATAGAAAAATTAGGAATAGCAGCAAATACTTATCTGAACCAGACACTGATAGGTACTTAAATACATTTGTTTACATTTGATTCTTACAGTTCCACTTTGCAGCAGGGAAAACTGAGCTCTGAAAACATACATGACTTGCCCAATCACACGCTTAGCAGTGCAGAGCCAATATACAAACCCCATCTGTCTGACGTCCGACCAAGTATGATTAAACCTAGAGAAAAGGTGAAATCAAGTTGTATTCATTCAGTTAGAATGTTGAGAGACCATGATTCTGTGAAGCTAAGTGAGATATTCACGGTCTCCAAGAAAGAAAACCACAGCAGCTCTGGAAATAGGGTGGGAGTCCCCCATCCTTTGCATCTGAACCTGCAATCAAGCATCCTCAGTAGCATTTGAGAAAGTCTTATATTGGGCTCCCGTGGCTTTCCAAGTGGTTGGCATCTGTCCTGCATTCCATTCCAGTGAACGTGCATGGGATTCCCAGCATGGCTCACTTAGCAGAATGGGTAACAAAGAGCACAGTGTCTGGGGTCAATACATAAACCCAGAACTTCTATCGTTGCCACATAAACTTGATTCTATTCCTGGATTCAGATATAAAGCTCCTCCTTGTCCTTCTCTGGTCCAACCGCCATTCTCTGGTCTAGTGTGGCCTCCTTCTCACCTGGACCCTTATGCTTTACTACATTTTTTTTTTTCTGAGACAGAGTCTCGCTCTGTCGCCCAGAATGGAGTGCAGTGGTGCAATCTCGGCTCACTGTAGCCTCTGTCTCCCAGGTTCAAGCAATTCTCATGTCTCAGCCTCCAAAGTAGCTGGGATTACAGGCATGCACCAGTACACCCAGCTACATTTCGTATTTTTAGTAGAGACAGGGTCTCACCATGTTGGCCAGGCTGGTCTTGAACTCTTGACCTCAAATGATCCACCCACCTTGGCCTTTCAAAGTGCTGGGATTACAGGCATGAGCCACTGTGCCAGTCCCGCTTTGCTACATTTTTAACTCCAGATGGTAACACAGGTCTCCTGCCCTGGATTGCCTTTGATCTTAGCAGGGTGCAAAAATGTGGTGAAGAATAAGACATTTAGGGCACAGGAGAGATAATTCACATGGAGGTGCAAAGTGATTTTGAGGATCGAGAGTCCATGAGGTATTTTCACATGTTATAATATGGCGGTATACCTGCTAATGGAATTGCCACTTTGGAATACGAACTTCTCCAAAATAGAGGAAACATTAAGTGATAGGGAGGGAAATCCCTCAGGAAATTATACAAGCTGTTACAGTCATAAATGTGAATGCGGAAGGAAATGAAAATATTACTCATTATAGCATCTCTTCTTGGGGCTGAGGAAGGAGGAAGCATCAGTTTCCTTTGTCAGTGATTTTTTTCCAGTTACGCTCCTTGGAAATTCAATACTAAGTTCAATTCACAACCCCACATCTCATATCACGATGCGTTCACCCCTATTTCTTTGTTCTACACTCTCCCACTCAGTCTTCACATCTTACAAGAGACTATAAACTCTAAAAACTTGCAGTTGTTGCGAGCACTGACTCAAAGATTCCTGGAAATGTTGACATGAGAAGAAATCTAAGATGCTCGTTTTACTTTCACAAATAAACATTTAAGGAGAGTCTGAGCTGAAATGGAAACCAAGCCAAACCAAACCCGTGTCCACAGATTGAGAGCTGTGGCTTCAACTCAACTCTTCCTTCATCTTGCAGATTCAAAGCACTGGCTCAGCATTTGGTTGTTAATAAGACACCCGCACCAGGAAGCAAAGTAGCTAAGCATGTTAATACAAATGCAAGTCACAAGATAAACGTTTGAAAAAGATCATCCTCAAGTATCAGATGGAAACAAAAATTCCTGTGGTGGGGCGTAAAGGAGGGAGGGAAGAAAGAGAGAGTGAGAGAGAGATACAGGGAGGAGAGAGAGAAAGAGACAAAAAGGGAGAGGGAGAGAGAGGAACAAAGAAAGGGAAAGATAAGAAGAGAAGGAGGGAGAAAGAGAGAGAAGGAGAGACGGAGAGAGAAAGAAGGAGAGACAGAGGGAGAGAGAGAGAAGGAGAGACAGAGGGAGAGAGAGAGAAGGAGAGACAGGGAGAGAGAGAGAAGGAGAGACAGAGGGAGAGAGAGGGGGAAAGAGGAAGAGAGGGAGAGAGAGCAAGAGGAAGAGGGAAAGAAAGAGGGACAGAAAGACAGGGAGAGAGAGAGAGGAAAAGAGAGAGAGAGGAAAAGAGAGGGAGAGAGGAAGAGGAGGGGAGAGAGAGAGACTGGTTTCTGTCATGGATTTGTTTGTAAAACAGTAAATATTTAAAGAAGACTTGTTTCCATCATCTCTTTGAAACCCAGAGTTCTATTATTCCTGTGTCTGTTTGCTCTGCTTTGGAAACCATCAGTGTTTTAAAAGGAAACACATCATGGGTGGTGTATTACAAAAATACAACAAAAGAGGATGCTGCGTTAGGTATCTGCCCTGTTCCACCCTGCATTTTATTGTCGAATAATGGAACAACAACAGACATTGCAGCTTTGGGTGGGAGCACAGGGAATTTTTTTTTTTTCCGGATCACATCAGACACTTTTCTTTCTTTCTCCTAGATAGCCACAAAAAGCTTCAGAAGTTACTAATCATATTGCTTTTGCTTTTGCTTTTTGGTACCAGGCTCTGTTAGCCCTCGTTTGTGTTTTCCTCCAAATGAGAGGCAGGACCTGGACCATGGTCGGCTTGCTTTGAGCTGCTCCTTGCTGATTCTCACAAAGCAGACATTCCAATGATCTGAGCAAAGAGGATGCTGGAAGCAGAGGTCAGGAATCTCCAGGGGCCAGCTGGTGCTGCTGAACGGACTTTCCTCTTCCTGCTCTCACACTGAGCTACAAGCAGCCTTTCTAGGAGATCAATAAGAGCTTGCAGAGCTACATGAATCGAAGACTTAGAAGAAAGGCTCTAATTAAGCAATTTAACTGTCAGTCAGAGGTCACTTTAATACTCAGCCTTCGTGAAAGGAAACGTAATGAAGCCACTTGTGTGCTGACCAGACAAGGCCATGCCCAGCCGATGGGTCCCACAGCTTCCTTAGCAAGAAATGCTCCTGATGTGTCATTGAGGAGAGCCCAAGGTTAATTACACCAGACACTTGAAGGTGACTGAGCAGAAAGTGCAAATATATTACCAAATGTGTTGAAACCTGCCTGCAAGTCCAGCTTCCTGATTAGCTCCCCTCGATGCCATCACAATTTCAATAGAAGTCAAAAAATCCAGTTTTTCCCTTTTCTCATTATAGCAGCATGCAATTCTAGAAAACGCACTTCTGTGATGTTATCTAAGTGCTCATGTGGCTCACAACACGAAGATTGTATATCAATAACAATGCCAGGGAGTGAACTCAGTACAGCACATTCCCAATGGTGTCCTCTGAGATTTTCCACCAAAGCACTGAGCATTGCAGGAGCAGAGATGACAAAAATTCATTTATTCAGCTATGCATCTATTAACAATTCATGCATCAAAAACATTGGTGCTTTGGCGATATAAAGACTACTGCTGTGGGTTCTGTGAAAGAGGATGGAGGCTGTGTATTACTGCTCCATTTTTTTTTTTTTAGATGGAGTCTTGCTCAGTTGCCAGGCTGGAGTGCAGTGGCACGATCTCAGCTCACTGCAGCCTCCGCCTCCGGGGTTCAAGTGATTCTCCTGCCTTAGCCTCCCGAGTAGCTGGGACTACAGGTATGCACCACAAAACCCAGCTAATTTTTGTATTTTTAGTAGAGACGGGGTTTCATCATGTTGGCCAGGATGGTCTCAATCTCTAGACCTCATGATCCGCCTGCCTTGGCATCCCAAAGTGCTGGGATTACAGGCGTGAGCCACTGAGCCCAGTCTACTGTTCCATTTTTAAATGTTCATTTGTTTCTTCTACTTGGCGAATTTTGCCTTTGTTTCCATGACACCAAGAGTAATGGCTGTTACATGTGGGCTTAGCTTGCCTCAATTTGGAACCTATAGGGACTAGGCCTACTCTAAGAAGAGCTTTCTATTGTATTCCCAGAAGAGTATGGGGATAGTCTTGTAACCCAGAGATCATGTGAAGCCTGGTGGCTGCCTGAGGTTGACTTCAACTTTGAGGATGAAACCACCACTGACGTCACTGGGCCCTCAGTGGCCATTTCATCTGCCATCTTGTCCTCCTTTTCTTACCCACAAATGCAACTCCTAACTGAATCCTCTTCCTTAGTTTTCTTCTTTCTGCTTCTGTTCCCCAGGCACCTGATTTTCTAAATAAGCAAACTAAGAACCCCAAGCCATGAAGAGGGTGAGGGGTGGTACACGTCCAGAAACAAGCACCTGGCAGTGTCTGGTACATATTTGGCACCGAAGGGGAAAGTAATGAAGGAAACCCTGACCTCCTGACTTCAAAGCAAGGACACTTTCCATTTCATATTTGAATTCTTAACACTTTTCCTTCTATTGACAAATGAAGGCTGGGCTTATCAGATATAGAAGTGAAAGTGGGCTGGGCACGGTGGCTCACGCCTATAATCCCAGCATTCACACCTGTAATCAGAGGCCGAGGCGGGTGGATCACCTGAGGTCAGAAGTTCAAAACCAGCCTGGCCAACATGGTGAAACCCCATCTCCACTAAAAACACAAAATATTAGCCGGGCATGGTGGCACATGCCTGTAATCCCAGCTACTTGGGAGGCTGAGGCAGGAGAATTGCTTGAACCTGGGAGGTGGAGGTCGCAGTGAGCTGAGATCACACCTTTGCACTCCAGCCTGGGCAACAAGAGTGAAACTCCATCTCAAAAAAAAAAAAAAAATCAAAGTGGCTCCAGCCTGACCCTAAATTTATTTTCTCCCTCTATTTTTCTAGTCTGCCATTCCGTATCCTGTACATAACTGCAATTTTTATATTTTACCAAAATACTTATTCACTTCGTAGGAAGCATAAGGCTTTCGTTTTAGTGCTGATCCTGCTGTTAATTTCTACTTAGCCTTGACCCTGACATTTCTGGATCTCAGTATCTTTTTTATTTTTTAATTAATTTTTATTTTTTGCACTGCCCCACCTCCACCTCAATGTCTTTTTTTAAAAAATTAGGTGACAACAGCAAACGAACTCTAAGCTTTCTTCTTCCAACCTTAACATTCTATGTATCTATAGGTTTATGACAGTTAATCATATGTGAAATCATATTTAACATACAGCTAAATTACTATTTCTTCTTCTAACAACCCAAATTGTTATAGAAGTTTTGAAAAAACAGGATGGCTGGTCCCATTCCAGCATAATTTTCACTGGTATTTAAAGAGTACACTTGAACTCTGTTAAAAATCTCCTGAACCCCAACATTATCTGACAGCATCACTGGCAACTGAATATTTTTCTCTTTGCTAATAACTCTGTCTAAGCAACAGGACCAGGACATTAACTTGAATGTCTCCAAAATGAAGGATTGGCTTTATATGAACTGAGACTGCAGAGATATTATGTAAGATGTTGGACTTTGGGGTACGTTTCCCGTCCAGTGTCCATCTGGCTGTAAAGATAGAGGGCTGGTGCTTCAACTCCGGCCTTCATGAATCCCTGGACAACTAACTAACAAGCTTCCAGCCTTGCCAGGGCATTGCCTGGTCTGGTTCCAAACCTCTGCAGACCTCCTGTCCCCTTAAGTGGGCACATTTGGCAAATATATAGCAGATCTCTACCCCAACTTACCTGGACAGTCTTGTTTTCTTTTAAAACTTCCTTATCTTTTTGTAAAGTTGATTTATAAATCATCCAAGAAAAAATGACTTAGTTTGTATACAATTTATGCAATTTTTAACATAATGAATTTATAAATCAGAAAAATCTTGTGCCAAGCCATGGGTTTCAATTTCTTATTCTAAAAAGTACAACATTCATAGAACCAATCTGGCGCTTCTTGGTGTCTCTGTCCTGAAAACATGATTTTCTCTACTGTTCGCCTGGCTCTCACATTCAGCTGCTCTTTTTCCACCTGCCCTCTTCACACAACTTATATTTCTCCATTTTTTTTAAAAAACCAACTCTCCACTGATTTTGGTTAACCCATTGGTTACTGCCCATTTTCTCCTTATGCCACTCATTTCCGTAACTCTGGGGAAAAGCTCAGAAGCTCCTGCACCTCCTAACCACTGTGACCTTGAGTCTTCCACCACCACCCGCCACAATCCTGCTCCTTGCAGGTTATTAAAGACGGAATCCAGGGGCTTTGTTGCAATCCTCACGCTCGTTGGCATCCTGCATGGGATTTGATACCTTTGATCACCCACCCTTGAAATTCAGCTTCCCTCGTGGTTTGAATGCTACCACTCTCTTCTGGTTCTCCACCAAGCACTCAGCGCACCTCCTCAGCCTCCTCTCCTCTGATCTTTCATCCACCCGTTACATGGCAGTGTTTCCCCAGGAGTTGGCTTGGCCCCTTTCTCTTGGTAAAATACTCCTAAAAGTGATCATACCTACTCCCACAACTTTAATAACCACCCAATATACAGAAATTATCCTCAATTGTATATGTCTAGCTCAGATCCTATCCCAAGCTCTGAACTCTTATGTCAAACTATATAATATTTAAACCCAAAAGTTTACAAGTCAAACTCACTATCATCTACTCCCTTTACTCAGTTAATGGCCTCATCATTCACAATTTTTTTTTTTTTTGAAACAGGGTCATGCTGTCACCCAGGCTGGAGTACAGTGGTGTGATCACAGCTCACCGCAGCCTCGACCTCCCATGCTCAAGCCATCCTCCCACCTCAACCTCCTGAGTTACTGGGAATACAGGTATGTGCCACTTGGCCAGGCTAATTTTTTAATTTTTTTGCAGAGATGGGGTCCAGGCTGGTGTCAAACTCCTGAGCTCAAACAATTCTCCTGTCTCGGCCTCCCAAAGTGCTGGAATTACAGGTATGAGCCATCACTCCCGGCCATTCATTCATTCTTCAAGCAAATAGGCTTCCCCCCACCATCTCTATCACCAGCCCCACCCACCACCATGTAATTAGCCTCTAATTCTAGTGACTGCCACCGTGACAGTTCTCCACGTGTCCCTGCGCTCTCCATGTGTCCCAAGACCACTGCCTACTATGAGACCTTATCACCTCTGATCCAAGCTTTTTCCATTGCTTCCCAAACAGACATGCTACCATCTTTCTTTTTCTCTGCCAAGCCATTCTTCACACACTGCTGCCTGTTGTCACTGTAGAATACAGCTCTGAGTATGTTATTCCCGTTTTACAGAAAATTTTCACTGACTCCATACTACCTATAGGATAATTTCAAATTCTTAACTGGAGCAGAAGAGAGCTCAGATGTCTTCTGTAGCCCCTTGGTCTCCACATGCTCCCCGGCATTTCTTCACGCTCCAGGGACAACACTCTCATTTTTTATTCCCAAATGTGCGTGCACCATTTCCCCATCCTTCCCTTGCAGCCTCCCCTCGTGGCCTCACTGCTGCATTTCTACTGGCGAGACTCTGCCACTTAAATGTCGCCTCCAGTGTGAACGCTTCCCTGGCTTCCAGGCCCAAATGAATGATGTCGGCCATTTTCACAATGATTCCAGAGCACTGAGCCCTAGATATGCTAAATCCTAGGTGCTATACTACGAGGAAGATTCGAAAGTGGGCTCTTCTGCTTAAGAGCTTGAGGCCCAGAATTACAGACGGCAAGTCCTGACCCTGACTTCTTTTTCTAAAAACCTTTCACCTTAGGTTCAAGGGTCCATGTGCAGGTTTGCTATAGAGGTAAATTGCCTGTCATGGGGGTTTGGTGTACAGTCTATTTTGTCACCCAGGTAATGAGCAAAGAACGTGATGGGTGGTTTTCAACTTGCTCCCTCCTCCCAGCTTCCAACCTCAAGTAGGCCCTGGCGCCTGTTGTTCCCTTCTTTGTGTCCATATGTACTCAGTGTTTAGCTCCCACTCCTGAGTGAGAACATGCAGTATTTAGTTTTCTGTTCCTGTGTTACTTCATTTAGGATTATGGCCTCCAGCTCCATCCATGTTGCTGAAAAGGACATGGTCTTGTTCATTCTTGTGGCTGTGTCACATTCCCTGGTGTATACGTAGCACGTTTTCTTCATCCCATCCACCATTGATGGGCATCTAGGTTGATTCCATGCCTTTGCTATCGTGGACAGTGCCGCGATGAACACGGGCATGCATGTCTGACTCTGACTTCTAAGTGCATTTCTGCTCCTAGTATTCCGCGCTGTCTCTTCTTCTAGTCCTCATTAAATGAACCTCCCCCAAAACACTCACCATCAGCAGCATCATAATGGCTAGCACAAGTGGAGAACTCTCTATGTGACAGCAAGCAGGTCATCTATATTATCTCAAATACCTAACAATAAATCTGACCTAGGTCCTCTTATTATCCCCATTTCCATTAAGGAAACTGAAGCTGAAAGGTTAACTTTCTTCCAAAGAACACAGCTAGAATATCACAAAGTCCAGGCTCAGCCCCAGAACCACCCTATATTAGAGCTAGATTTCTTAGCTGAAGCACTGTGCTGACTCACACTATCGGTGTGGCTCACTTCTTATTTTAATGTCTTGCCTGGGTTCTTAGAGGTATTTGCTTCTAATGTCTCTTCTGCCCACTGGCTGGGATTTTCCAACTACAATTAACTCTTTTTTTTTTTTGAGAGGGAGTCTCACTCTGTCGCCCAGGCTGGAGTGCAGTGGCGTGATCTTGGCTCAATGCAAGCTCTGCCTCCCGAGTTCCCGCCATGCCTGGCTGCTTTTTATATTTTTAGTAGAGACGGGGTTTCACCATGTTAGCCAGGATGGTCTCGATCTCCTGACCTCGTGATCCCCCCGCCTCGGCCTCCTAAAGTGCTGGGATTACAGGCGTGAGCCACCGCGCCCGGCCTACAGTTAACTCTTGAACAACAGAGGTTTGAACTGCCTGGGTCCACTTAAACACAGATTTTCTTCCGTCTCTGCCACCCCTGAGACAGCAAGACTAGCGCCCCCTCCCTCTTCCTCCCCAACCCACTCAATGTGAAGATGATGAGGATGAAGACCTTTATGATGATCAACTTCCACTTAATAAATAGTAAATATATTTTCTCTTCTTTACAGTTTTCTTGATAGCATTTTATTTTCTCTAGCTTACTTTGTTGAAAGAATACAGTATGTAATATATAAAACATATAAAATATCTGTTAATTGACTGTTTATGTTAATGGTAAGCCTTCTGTCCGTCATAGGTATTAGTAGTTAAGTTTTGGGGGACTTGAAAGTTGTATGTAGATTTTTCACTGCACGACAGGGAAGCAGGGGGCCAATGACCCTAATCCCAGCATTGTTCAAGAGTCAACTGTACTTCATACAGCATTATCTGATTCTGACAACTTGTTTGGACTATTATTACATTTTATATTTTGCCTTACCTACCAGCCCAAACTCCTCCCAGCACTTGTTTTTGAGTTTATTTTCCATCTCCGTGCCTAAGACCCGATCACATTTGAGGTTTCACTCCTGCTGTTTCCTCCTGCTGCACTTTGTTAAGCCAAGCCCAGCTGCATGCTGAAATATGGCAGTGTTCATAGAAAACCTTGTCTGTGTGTTTATGTCCCATGTAGGTGGAAAACCCTCCTCATGACCACAAGAGGGAAAATCCTAGCCATGCTGGCATGCTGTTGACCTAGGCTTTGGTTTGGTGACACACTTTGTATGTTAAATTCCATGGATTCTGCACTGTATCAAAGAAAAGAACACCATGCAGACGAGGGAGGAAACAAGGGGTAGAGCAATACCCACCATGGTCAAAACTATAAGTAGCTTTGTCTCTGGCCCATTCAAACTTCTCTTAAAGACCTTCTTTTTTTTTTTTTTTTTTTTTTTTTGAGAAGGAGTCTCGCTGTGTCGCCAGGCTGGAGTGCAGTGGTGCAATCTTGGCTCACTGCAACCTCCACCTCCTGGGTTCAAGCGATTCTCATGCCTCAGCCTCCCAAGTCGCTGGGATTACAAGCACACACCACCACACCCAGCTAGTTTTTGTATTTTTAATAGAGATGGGGTTTCACCATGTTGGCCAGGATGGTCTCGACCTCCTGACTTCATGATCTGCCTGCCTAGGCCTCCCAAAGTGCTGGGATTACAGTTGTGAGCCACCACGCCAGGCCAAGACCCTTCTTTTGCTTCAATATTTATTTCACCTTTATTCCTTTTTTTTTTTTTTTTTAACAGACAGGGTCTTGCTTGTTGCCTAGGCTGAAGTGCAGTGGCAAGATCTGTGCTCACTGCAACTCCTGCCTTCCACCCTCAAGTGATCCTTTCACCTCAGCCTCCCAAGTAGCTGGGATTACAGGTCTGTGCCACCATGCTTGGCTAATTTTTTAACTGTTTTGTAGAGACAGGGTCTCACTACATTGCCCAGGCTGGTCTCAAACTCCTGGGCTCAAGTGATCCTCTTGCCTCATGCTCCCAAAGTGCTGAAATTACAGGTGTGATCTACCATACACATCCTCACCTTCATTCTTAAAGGAATTTTAGGAGAGCATAGAGTTCCTGGCCGGTAGTTACTTTTTTTTCTTTAATCTGAATATATCAGTCTATTGTCTTTAAAAAAATTTTTTTTACTTCCAATCCTGGTTGAAAAGTCAGCATTTAGTCTCTACTTTCTAACAAGCAATCTGTTCCCCACCTACCTACTCCTCTAGCTGACTGTAACATTTTCTCTTTATCTTTGTTATTATTATTTTTTTTTTAGAAAAGTACGTCATTCTATTTATCCTGCTTTGCTGTTTGGGTTCCTTGAGATTCTATTTTTTTAATGATGACTTCCACCAGTTTTGGAAAAATTTTAGTCAGTAGCTCTTCAAAGTTTGCTTCTGTTCCATATATCTCTCTTTTCCTTGTGAGACTCCAATTAAGTGTGTGTTATATATTTTCTGAGTGTCCTCTATGTGTCTTAACCTCTCTTATATATTTTTCATCCTTTTTTTATCCATACTTTTTTCTGAGTAGATTCTTGACTTATCTTCCAGTTCACTGTTTCTCTGTAGTCACTATTTATCTCTTCATCTCTGCCTAGTCCCCCCAAAAAGCCTTCTGCTGAGGTGTTAATTTTAGCTATGGTATTTATCAGTTCTCAAATTTGTAGTTGGGTCTTCTTCATATTGCAATGTCACTTTCTATAGTATGCAGTTCCTTGCTGAAAGTTCTCAGTTTGACTTTTATTTCCATGAGTTGAGTAATCACAGTTGTATAGCAAGTGTGCCAGGTAACTTTACTATCTGGCATATTAGTGGATTTGTTTCTATTGTCTCTTACTCATATTACATCTCATTTTTGTTATATTGTCCCCTCAAGTACATGACTATCTTTGATAGTGTGTTGGTGATACACACAGGATACAGGGAAATACTAGGTAGAAGAGGGCAGTTCCCCAGCAAAGGCCCCACTCTCAAGCCTGGAAACCCATGGCCCTAAATGGGAACAGGCATTCCTGTTTCCACACCCAAATTTTGCCTTTTGGCCTGCCACACCCCCTTATCCTGTATTCATATAAACCCCTAAACCCAGGCTTCAAAAGTAGACAAGCAGATGAGCAGATAAATAGAAGAGCAGAGGAGCAGAAGAGCAGTACAGCAGAGAAAGAGAGAAGAGAAGGAGCATCTGAACATTGAGAGGAGTTCAGCCAGGGTCAGTCAAAGAAGAAATCGGCCATGGGACAGTGAACTCCAGGGGGAGGATCATCTTCCCTTTCCACCCCCTTTCCAGCTCCCCATCCATCCCACTGGGAGCTGTCTCCATCATCCAGTAAAACCCCTGCATTCACCATCCTTCAAGTCCATGTGTGACCTGATTCTTCCTGGACACCAAACAAGAAGATGGGTACCAAGAGGACACTGAGCTGGTTAAAACTTAAGCCATCTGAGGATGGCAGAGCTAAAAGAGCACTGTAGCATGCCCACTAGGGCTCTGGGAGTTGTAGGCACCCACCCCTAGATGCTACCATGGGGCCCGGAGTCCAGAAGCACTCTCCCCGGCTCCTGCACCCCTGTCTGCATGTTTCCCTGCCCATAAGGGGTTTGAACCTGCAGCACTTGAACAGATGAGACACACCCCTGTTGAATGTCCTGTAACGGAGGTCAGGGAACTCTCTTATTTAATCGGCTATTACACATGAAAAATTATAGGTAGAAATGATGTCTAGAATGTTAATATCTCTCTTTGAAGAAGATTTTAAATTGCTTTTGCTGGATGTCCAGTGCCTAGATGCACGAGAAATACAAGATTCACTCTCATTATTTCATGGCTTCAGATTTTGGGGATTCACTCAGGTAACTCAAATATTGAATGCAGTCTCAGTGAAGGCTGTTTTCCTTTCATTTTACCTAAGATACGAATGGCTTACCAAGACTGCCACTCTAACAAAGCTCTGGACTCAAACTTTGGTCCTCTTTGTCCTGAGAGGCTCTCAGAAGAGCTGCTAAACCTTTGTGGATCAGTAAAGGCCCTGCAGGAAAAAATGGTCCCAAAGACTGGACTCACACCTCTCTCAGATATTCACTCAGAAACTTCACACTACCTCATGAACCATTGGCTACTTTTAGAAAGATGTTTGTAAATGTCATCCAAAATTTCAAAATGGTCTTTGTCAGGAGAGTAGCTGGATGTTCTACGCTTTCAGTCTGCATGATGCTTAGCCAACTTAGACTCTGAAGACTCATTTGGATGGTTAATATACAGTGATAAATAAACTTAACTTTCATTAATAACCTAATCTTGTAAAATAATATTGAAATCATACCATTAAAATGGACTACTTGGAAAAATGTAAACAAACCTTTGAGTTTTCTTGGGTTAAATTTGAAAGAAGCTAGCCAGTTGGATCTTGTGTAGGAAACTATCAGGACACTAACATTGAAAGATCCAGTAACCAAGAGAATCTGGTTTGTATTTGAATGAAATGTTGATATACACAAATGAAAGATGAAAAACTTTTTGTTAGAAAATCAGGTAGCCCGGAACAAGACAAGGGTGCCCTCTCTAACCACTCCTATTCAACATAGTATTGGAAGTTCAGGTCACAGCAATCAGGCAAGAGAAAGAAACAAAGCATATTCAAATAGAGAGGAAGTCAAATTGTCTCTGTTGCAGATGACATGATTGTATATTTAGAAAACCCCATCGTCGCAGCCCAAAATCTTCTTAAGCTGAGACAGAGGCAACTTCAGCAAAGTCTCAGGACACAAAATCAATGTGCAAAAATCACAAGCATTCCTATACACCAGTAATAGCCAAACAGAAAGCCAAATCATGAGTGAACTCCCATTCACAATTGCTACAAAGAGAATAAAATACCTAGGAATACAACTTACAAGGGATGTGAAGGATCTCTTCAAGGAGAATTATAAACCACTGCTCAAGGAAATAAGAGAGGACACAAACAAATGGAAAAACATTCCATGCTCGTGGATAGGAAGAATTAATATCATGAAAATGGCCATAATGTCCAAAGTAATTTATAGATTCAATGCTATATCCATCAAGCTACCATTGACTTTCTTCACGGAATTAGAAAAAAAACTCTAAATTTCATGTGGAACAAAAAAAGAGCCTGTACAGCCAAGACAATCCTAAGCAAAAAGAACAAAGCTGGAGACATAACGTTACCTGACTTCAAACTATACTACAAGCCTACAGTAACCAAAACAGCATGGTACTGGTACCAAAAGAGATATACAGACCAATGGAACAGAAGAAAGGCCTCAGAAATAACGCCACACATCTACAACCATCTGATCTTTAACAAACCTGACAAAAACAAGCAATGAGGAAAGGATTCCCTATTTAATAAATGGTGTTGGGAAAACTGGCTAGCCATATGCAGAAAACTGAAATTGGACCCCTTCCTTACACCTTATACAAAAATTAACTCAAGA